>NC_000001.11:234668970-234820485 GCF_000001405.40 Homo sapiens | reverse complement strand
CCCACCATAGGTCCTGAGCACCAAAGCCTGATGTCCAGTTGCCCAGTGGACAGACATCTCCACTGGGACATCTCATACGCACTAAAAACCTCAATGTACTGAAACCTGAATTTATATTTCTCTCCCCAAATGTGCTCCATTTCCATCTTCCCTTTCTCAACATCCATCCAGTGGAAATGTTGCTCAAACCCAAGTCCAGAGCCACCCTTGGCACGCTCATCTTCCTGAGCCCCCCACTTCCATCGGCCACCCAGGTGCTTGTCAGTTTTCCCACTTTCTCCCTCTCCACAGCCCTTTTCCTAGTTCAGACCTTCTGTCTCCCTTGTTGGGATCATGTCAACCTCTTCCTCACTCGCCTCTGGCTCTGGGCTTGTGCCTTCAACCGACTCTTCAAACCGTAGCAAGAGGGATGCCTCAAATCACAGATCAGATCCCTCTCTCCTTAAAGCCCTGCAGCAGCGTCCTGTGGCCCTCAGGATAGAATTCAAACACTTCCAGGATCTGGACATCTCCTGCCCCTCCACAGCCCTGCCTCGCCCTGCATTCCAGCCCCACCAAACCACAGTCAGTCCCTTCCATGGTTTTGGATCTCTTGTCTGGGAACTTTGCACCTGCTGTTCTCTCTGCTTAAACTCTCGCTTTCACCCATGCGACCTGGTTCACTCCTCACTCTCCTGCATGTCTCAGCTTGGAAGTCACCTCTTCCAGAAAGCCTTCCCTGACCCTCAGGTCCAGGTTAGATCCCCCACCTGGATTCCCACAGCACCGTGTTTTTCCCCTACCACAACCCTAGTCATGCCCTTTAGTGAACAGCCAACAGTTACTAAGCACCTGCTGTGTTAGGCTGTTTCTTAGGACTTTATAAGAAAGATCACATTTAATCCTACGAAGTAGGTACTGCTATTATCCTATTTTTTAGATGAACAAACTGAGGCAAGAGCAGTCACACACACATAGAGTCAGTAAGTGGTAAAGTTGGGATAGAAACCAAGACAATCTGACTCATGGATGTTACACCGTGTGTTAGAACTAGCCTTGAAAAAAAGACACAAGCTTGTGCCCTGTGCCAAGAAAGTTTCTGATAATGGTGGCGGTGGTGGTGGTGGGATTTAATCAGTTGGCAGAAGTCTGTATTTCTAACAATCTCTGATTCAAATGGGCAGGACCCATGTCCATTTCTCTTTATTGCAATTGTATTATGTTTCTTACCTTCACTCTGCAACAAGCTTGGTGAAGACAGAGAACATGTATCTGAGGCCCTTCATCTCCCCTCAGTTCCTAGACCAGCACTAGCCCATAGTCAACCCTCCATCAAGGTAGAGGGAGAAAGTAAGTGGCTTTTACCCTGTGCTTTCTGAACTCCTGGGATGCTAGGAAGAGCCAGAAAACCTTGTCCACCGAACCCACAAATTCACTCTCTTCATCCCTTCCTCACTCCACTTCCTTCCCAGTAGTTGTTGGAGTTTTTGAATTTTCCCTCTGTGAGCCCTTGCCCTCCCCTGCCATGTTCTCAGCAAAGGCCCTGGCCTCCAGGTCCATGAGAACAGGATTCCCTGTAGTAAGAGCTCTTCCCTAGCCTCCTCCACTTCCAAAGGGGCTGGAATCTTCACCCCTTGATCCCTTCCCTTTTTAGAGCACAGAGGAAGCGGGGCCCTCCTCCTGCCCTGGGCTCCCCTGCCCCACATGTTCCTGGAGAGCACCCCTGGGTCACTGTTGTAACCACATGGTGACTTGCTTGCTCTCATCCTTCATGACCCCCCCTCCTCCCATGCCCCACTTTGTTAATTTCACTCTCCTCTCAAAACTCCCCACAGTGCCAGTGATGGGGTATAAATGCAGCTGGGCAACGAGGCTCCCACAGACAGACCCAAACCTATCTTCCAAGTGTTAATTTCTTTTCTCTCCTCTTCTTCAAATAGGTCTCTTCCTTACACATTTCTGCCATTCCTTTCTCTCTCTGCCTTGCCTCTCCCTTTTCTCCCGGCCACAGCCTTATCCAACCTCCCAGCCCAGCTTGGACTCAGCTTTCCTAGGAGGCTCCCAGACAATCCAGTGGGCTCTCATTTTTTTGAGTGTATTCAGCAGTTGGCTGATGCTGCATCTCCAGCACTTGCCCTAGGTTGTTTTATCTCCCTAATGGCCTGTAAACCCCTTGAGGGCAGGATCTGGCCTTTGTACTCTAAAAAGGTCTTCCTACTAGAGAATGCTCCACACATGTGTGATGCTTCGGGGAGTCCCATCCTTCATCAGAGATTCCCACTGGTGCCAGCTCATAGCTCATCATGACGTGTCCCAGATGGTGACTGGGAGTAGCCTATGCCAAGCAGGAGTTTTTCCCCGAAGTCTTCCTGTTTATTGCACCGGGCTGGCTGCAAGACATTGAGGATGCTGCCCCAGGTGCCAGCAGGGTGACTGGGGCAGGCGCCATGATGGCTGTGCCTGGGTGCTGGCCAGTGTGGCCCCAAGAAGAGGCCGGGAGCCAGAGCTGCATGCCTCTGTCAGCACCAGCCTCCTAAAAACACTCTCGACTTTCTCCAAGCATGGATTGCCTGAGCTCCCCTCCTGCTCCCCAAAGAGGCCGGGGAACGAGTCAGACAGGGGATAAGTCAGACAGGCTCAGCTGTGGGAGGCTGGAGCAAAAAGACCAATAAAACTGACTTTATTTGTAATGTTCCCATGTTTGTGATTTTGTTATTTCTACTGTTTCCTCGGAGCAATGAAACAAGGAAACGGAACAAAAAATAACAAAACCCAGCTCTAAGTATACGTGAACTGTAAGGCCTCCCTCTGGCCTCCTCTCTTCCTCCTTCCTCACCAGGTTTGCCTGGCTGACCCTTCCAGCCAGTGAATTCCTTTCCCAGGTTGAGTGTTTTCCATTTTAATTTTTATGGCATTTCCCTGGATTAATGGTTAACGCATTCATTTTCTCCCCTCCACCCTCCATCATCAAAGAGTGCTTTGAATAACCATTAACTCTCTGGTTAAGCGAAAGAAACACGTTAATCATCTACAAGTCCTGGGGCAGGAAAATTATTCTTGGTAACCTTCTCCCAGTGGCAAGAAAACCACTGTCCCTGAGCAGCTCAACTTCAGCCACACCTGGGTCTAGAAGCTTGCAAAACCCCTCCGGTAACCTTGTTACAAGGACCTGGTGAGGTCATAAACTGCTGAATGGCTAAGCGCTGTGCTTTTCAACCCAGCCACCACCGGTTCTCTAGGACCCTATAAAGAGACAAGGCTGGGCTGCTGCTTCTCCCTTTACTTTTAAAAATTGTTTTGCCAGTAAAGTCTCATCTATTGTACATTCCTTCTTACTGGGAAACTCAAGTGGCTGTACAGGCTGTTCTTGGAGCCACAGTTAAAAGCGCTTTGACCCAAACACACATGTGGCGTCATCCTGAGCTCCGTTTGCGTGGGGCCGGAACACCGGACTAGGAAACCTCTCCCTGCTTTAGCAACTGAGTGTGGCTAGATTGAGGGACCACAGGGGGTGGCTCTGGATGCAGCAATCCAAGTCCCCCTTTCAGGGAGGGTGACCTCTTTCCGAAGTTCAGTGGATGGCCCCCTTCCAGGGTTAGGGAGACAGGAGGAGGAGGAAGAAGAAAAGGAGGAGGAAAGCTCTCAACAGCCCCCCACCCCCAACCCATCCAGGAGAGAAGGACTGCAGTCCCCGAGACCAGCTGGAGGAGTGGCGTGTGCATGGTGTGCCCGCAGGGTAGAGCGCGCCATCTTGGAGAGATGCCTCTTTCATTCACAAAGCGGATCTGTTGCAGAGCCCAGAGCCCCGGGGAGAGCAGGGCGGCGTCCAAGTGCTTGCTGGATTTGGCTTGCACTCCCTCTCCCTTAAAGAAGACAGAGGCGGAAGGGAGAGGCTGTTCTTCGGAGGCGAGCCTCAGGCACTGCTAGACTTATTAGGAAAGATATTGCTGGGGTCTTGGCAAGCCGTAGGTGCAGCGCTCCCCATCGTCATTCCGGTGCGGCTGGTTACTGTCACCCTGCCTCCTCCCCGCCGGCCTGAGAGCCTCTCTGTTCCAGATCCAAACATTTCCACATTAGGCAGCCTGCATGTGCATTTCCCTGGCAGTGGAGGGAAAGGCACCCCTGTGACCTGGGATGACCGACGACGGGGACTTGCCCTCCTCCCCCACAGGTGCACTTGCTCTTTTCTGGGCCAGCCTTGTGATCTGGTGTCCGGGCACTTGGCAGCATTTAGCAAATGTTCCTCAGTGCTCTGTTTGGTAGTTAATGCTGTTGACACGGACACCTTTGGGAGCACGTGGGAGAAGCTGCTGCCTCCGTTTCCCCCGGGTTACAGCGCCTGGCGCAGCCTGTTGTCCCCTCAGAAGTGGTGGGCGACATTATCTCCTTTTTCATCCCTAGCCCTCTCCCTTGAAGCTGTCCTGATCTCTCTTTTGGACCCAGGAACGTGAGCAGAGGTTATTACTCACTATATATACACACTGCATCTAGACTCATGCATGCCTTCTTGGTGTCAAGGACACCTCACATTTCAAAGACTTCATGAAAAAGAACGTGAGGTATCTCACACGGTGACATGATAAAGCTTTGGACAACGTGGGTTAAGCTAAAAACAGGTCATTACAATTAATTGTATCTCTGTCTTTTGACCCTTCAGTGGCTCCTGAAATCCATCACACATGTGGCTTGCAAGTATTTTGGTCGGACAACGCTGCCATAGATTGTCCCACTGTGAAATGGTTCCCTCTGGGCTTACGGGACTACTATAGAAGGGTCCTAAGGTCCTGTGCCTCCCTGCTTTTCAAGTGGCTGCAAACTTCTGTGCCTACCGCTTCCTCCACTGGATGTTTCCTTCCTGCCCTCCTCCCTGAGGACCTCCTAGTCCCCCTTCAGGATGCAGAGCTGGAGCCTCCACTCCAGGAAGCCACTCATGTTGTTGCCAACACAACCCCCTGCACACATGCAGTATTAGGCATTGGTCTGCCTGGCTGTCCCTGGGCTGTGCTGTCCTTGAGGGCAGTTTTTGTGTCTAATTCCCAGAGAGTGCAAGAACACAAGCATGCTCATCCAGACGTTAGTAAGCTGCCCTAAGGGGTGGAGCAGTCAGATTCCGGTTTTATTTATTTTTCCCCTGCAAGGAGCAATCAATTATTAACCGAAGTCATGATACTTTGGTTGCTGTTATCAGCACATGAAAATATCAGTCAAGGCTGGGTTTCAGACCCGCCTGGCACTATTCAAAGGAAATTTTTTAGTAATTCTTATTTTATTAAGAGCACTAGTATATTCAGATCAAGTAAAACTTCACATATAACAGGTTCACTCTTCTATATGAAATGTTTGTGGGAAATCTATCATGCATCAGGTGCTCTCAAAAGGTGGTGAGGTGTAAATGTCAGCCTCAAAGGCTGCAGTGTCCAACATGGCACACAGCTTGTGTGGCTCTTAGCACCTGAAGCATGCCTCGTCCACAGTGAGATGTGCTGAAAATGTAGTATACATCCAGATTTTGAAGACTTGGTAAAATATCTCACTAGCAATTTTTTATATTGATTACATGAGGAAGTGATAATGTTTTGGGTTGGTTAAGTTAAACGTATTATTAAAATTCATCTCATCTGTTTCTTTTTAAAAGTGGCTTCTAGAGAATTTTAAATAACATGTAGTTCACATTATATTTCTATGAGACAGTGCTGCTCTAAGGCGATTATGCTTTGTTTGTTTTGAGACACTCACAGGTGTATGTGAGCATTTCAACCGGGTTTATAACAGCTTAGGAAACTGGGAACTTTGACTTGGAACTTTCCCGCCAAGTGACAAAACATCCGTCCAGTGATAGAAGTTTTAATTCTACTTCCTCCAGCTAGATCTTGCCTGGAGGACCCACGTTGACTTACTCTCTCCAGAAACGGCCCCACTGGCTCTCTGGGGGAACTCCTGGGTTCTGCAGGGACTTGCTAGGTAGTAATTACAGGTGTGTAGAGACCCTCCTGCTTCATACGCTCAGTCATCATTATTTACTTTTACCAGGCACCAGGGGCGTGATGAGAGCTTAGCTGAAAGGAGAGAAGACTCAGCAAGCACATCACCTTGAAGCTGACCTGTCAGCCAGATTTCGCAGCACCTGCCTGTTCCAGCCTGAGGGGCTGCGATTCATTCCTTGGGAAAGAGAGCTGCAAATTCCCGCTCTAGGCCACAGTCCAAATCCTTGCTCTTCTCTCTCAGGTTCTGGAAGACAGAATGGAGGCATCTACAGAGCAAGGACATGTTTTCTACCTGAATTAGCTTTTCTGACACCTTCAAACCATCTCTAAGAAATTGATTTTTTAACATACACATATACAGGTAAACATTTAAATCTGTGCCATAATGTATTTGCACTTCGAGTCCCCCTGAAGTCCTAAGTCACATGCTTCTCTTCCTAGGGGTTCTGTCTGAAGCAGAGACCCCTGGATTGGAGCAGTGGGAAGAATCCTGATGAATCAGGTGTTCCTGCCTGTTTACATTAACTGGGCACCCTGCCTGCCCACCCCACATGCTGAATACTGCTGGGGAGAAGAGAAGAAACATTTATTAAAGGCAAGGAAAAATTAGAGCCTTTTCATTGAGGTCAGAAGATTTTTGAGGTTGGATCGGCTGGCCAGGTGCATGACCAATTTTCTTGGCTCCTTAGAAGCAGCAAAGTATTTGAAAAATAATGGAGCCCTTCGTCCTACAAGTAAAAGCCCATTTATATTGGGAATTTTTTAAAAAGTGCTGGCGATGGAAAATTTCCGATGAGATGCATTTCTTCCTGCCTGAATGTCTTGAATGCCTGCTGGATTTGTCTCCCTGCTAAGACACTCACACTTGCAAATCTGTGCTTTTCAAGGTGGGGAGATGAAAATAAAAAGTCTGTGAGATGTATTTCTGGGAGGCCTGAAAACAGGAAGCAAATTGGAACCACAGCATGTGGGGCACGGATGCTGGATTCTGGGGGATATTTGCTTATTTGGAAAGGCTGCAAACATTCCATCCTACCCACTGCTAGGAGCTCTGCACTTTGCTAACGTCCCATGGAAACCAAGGTTCTCTTTAGGACTCGACAGGACTGGGTTATTTTTCTCAGCTTAAATTGTTTTTATATGGTTATCCTCAGTACTCTTTTCTGTTTTGGGATATTTTCATACTTTTTATTTTTTAAAAACCCCAGAATATCTTGATTTTGAAAAGGTACATTCACCCAAATAAAGTGCCCAGCGCATAGACAAGGCTGCCTCAATATTTCACGTGTCAACAGCCAATGCCCCCAGTACGTGCAGAAAAGCCTGAGAACAAGGAAGGAAGAAAAGGGTCTGGTCCTTGCTCTGCGGGTATTTAAGCATTTCTCAGCCCCCTCCTCTGACTTCTCAACTATGTTCACCTATATGGCCTCGAATGGAGAGAACTGGGGTTATAAAAGAGGATATTAGCTATGCCTGCTATAGAATGAGGAAGGCATTTCAGGATGTGCTTGGGGAGGAGATGGAATGAATGGCAAAGGGGATGTTTGTCCGTGAGGGTGGTCTGTGATCTGTGGGTGGGGGATGTCTGTGCAGCTCCCTTCATGGCCTCTCATGGCCCACACAGTAGGCAGTGTTTGCCACACACAGACCCTGGACAAAGTCACAGAGTGGTGTTGGTACCATTTCATAGGAGGGGTCCTAGGGGACATTCTAGGAAGTTCTTCATCAGCTTAGGACGGTGCAGCCTCTGCAGTCATTAAACACAGTCTACCAGCCAGAGAAGCCCAAAAGCTGCTGCTCCTGCTGTTCTGCGTGGTGTGGGAAACTACGGCATTGGCACAACTTTGGGAGCTCTCTTTGATCTCTTGTTTGTCTGCATTTCCCATACTCTTCCAGTCACCAAGTGTCATCATTCTTCCCCAGGTTGTCTCTGTCTCCCTTCCTTTTCTGTCCCCATGACTCTTACCTGTATCCAAAACTATGGCGTTTAAGGTGAAAGAGCCAGTCTGTAGGAGCTGCTTCGAGGAAAGTCTTGCAAGACTGCCTTCTTGAACTTGGTGCTCAAACTCCCCTCTGGCTTCACAACCTGCATAGTTGCCTGGGTCAGAAACAGGTTCCTCAGGCAACTTGGTGTTGCATTAACCAAGTGACACTGATTGTCACTTGGAAGACACTCAGTGACTGACTATTAGAGATCATCTGCCTCTCATTTTGGGGATGTGAAGGTTGAGACTCAGAGAGGTCAGGCAACATGTCTGAGGTCACTGAGCCAACTAGCAGCAGCCCCAGAGTTGTCACCCAGATTTCCCGACTCCCTATTCATTCCCCAAAACCTACCCATGGGGAATGTTCTGCCAGGCTGTTCTACATCACCAGTAGAGAGAAGTTGCCTTGAGTATTCGGTTTGGTTTTGAAGTTAACCTATTCAGACACACTTGAGCATGCAGTGAGTCACTGACTGGATTCATTCCCAGACCTATGGACTCAGCGCATCAGCTCACCAAGCCTCCTGCATACTCTGCTTCTACGCTGGACAACTGTGCATTTTGAGAAGCTGGAGGAAATTGTTTGGCATAGTGTTCTAGGCCAGCAGTCATGCGATACTGAGCTAGGCCTGGCTCCTATAGGCTGGTGAAAGCCAAGTGTTAGCTGTTCAGGATTTTTTTGAGTTGGTTAACTATTGATAGCTTCAAAGTCGCCATGGCAGGGGTATTTATACCATAGAAATTGGTACATGTTACAAATTAGGGTTTCATTTTTCACCATCCAGAGATCTGATTTACTAACTCACTACTGATTCTGAGGTAGGACCCCAGCTTAGGAAGGCACTTTCAGGCAAGACTGTTCTGCGGTAATTAGGAAATGGAGAGTGGCCCTGTCAGATGCAAAGGAGAATATCAAATTTGGAAAAAAGTACTGCCTATTGCACAAGAGGTAAGAGTCACTGAGACATCTTGCACCAGACCCAAGTGAGGGATGGAAGGGGCCCTGATGGTCATCTTGGGACAGCTTCTTAGGGTCACCCAGGAGCCCAGGAGCCAGGTATGCCACTCTGTGGTGGGACAGAAACCCCTGTAAAGAGCAAGCAGACACTCAGTCACCCAGGACCCTCCCCAACACTCCCATTCCCTGCAATCTATCAGCACATCCTATCAATCCCGTCTGGAGTAGATATCTGATCACGCCTTCTCTCCCTTGTGACTGCCATGACCCAAGTCCAGGTTCCTGCTACATCCTTCCTAAAAGGCCTTCCCCTGCAAGCTTGCCTACCTCACATCAACTCTCCCCACATAGCTGCAAAAGTGGACGTCTGAGAAGAAGGGGGAGGAAGAGGAGAAGAAGGAAGAGATGAAGAAGGCGAAGATGAAGAAAAAGAAGAAGAGGAGGAAGAAGAAGAAGGAGGAAGAGGGGGAAAAGAGGAGGAGATGATGTTATGTCATCCCTTCACCCTTCCCCTGCACACACACACACACACACACACACAGACACACAGACACGCACACACACACACACACACACCACGAAAACCCTTCAAGAGCTTCCCATTGTACTTAGAATAAAATCCACGCTTGAGTAAAGCTCTGCATGATTTGGCCCCTGCAAACCTCTCCAGCCTCCTCTTGCTTGGGAGCCTCTGTGCTCACAACTCTCCTGTCACCCTGGTCTTCTTCCAGGTCCTTGAATGCTGGCTAAGCTCTTTGCTGCCCCAGGACCTTCGCACCTGGTCTTCTACTGGCAGGAATACTGTTTCCTGAGTCTTCCCCTGACTGGCTCCTTCATTTCCTTTAGGTCTCAGCTTGAGTGTAACCTCACAGGGCCATTTCCTGCTCACCTGGTGAAAAGTCAGGCCTCGTCTGTTCTCTGTTTTAGCTCCTAAGTTTCTTTACGACAATTATTTCAGCCCACAGTTCTTTTATTTACTTGTCTGCTTACATTTTGTTTTAATCTTTTCTTTACTTCCCCCCACTTCAACAGATGCTCCATGGAGAAATGGGTTAACCACTGCATTGCCAGTGCCTGGCATATAGGGGTGCTCAAATAAAGACTTGATGAGTGGGCTGGGTGTGGTGGCTCACACCTGTAATCTCAGCACTTTGGGAGGCAAAGGCGGGCAGATCACCTGAGGTCAGGAGTTCGAGACCAGCCTGGACAACATGGTGAAACCCTGTCTCTACTAAAAATACAAAAGTTAGCTGGGTGTGGTGGTGAGTGCCTGTAATCCCAGCTACTCTGGGAGGCTGAGGCAGGAGAATCGCTTGAACCTGGGAGACAGGGATTGCAGTGAGCTGAGACCGCACCACTGCACTCCAGCCTGGGAGACAGAGCGAGACTCCATCTCAAAAAAAAAAAAAAGTTGATGAGTGGTTCATTCTACTGCCACCACCTATGGGAAGACAGGTCAGGAATGTTGAAATGAAAGAAGTGCTTGGCTTCCTCTGAGCTCCAGCTGGACACAGGCATCTGTGATGCATCCAGATTCAGGCTGCTCATGGACTCTGAGGACTCAACGCTCCCGGAGGGCTAGCAGGGAGCTTTGCACACATACAACCAGTTCTCACCAAGCAATTGGGGATTAATAGTGCAAGGGGTTAAATGGGTTCAAACTGTTCCTCTTAAGCTCACCAAGATGGTAAACCGTACTTCAAAGCTGCTTGAAAATTCTTACTTGGTGAGCATGCAGTTCTGTGTCCCTTTTGGGCAGAGGATTGGGAAGGCAGCCACCAAGGCCGCCTGCCGAGTGAACAGGGGGAGGGGGCACTCCAGGTGACGTGGGTGCAGAGACCCGCTCATGCCTGACCCACAGTTAGTGCACGCTCACAGTGGTTCCAGTCTTGTCCTAGCGACCCGACTGGCCTGGTTTGTTATTGGAACTAGAGCTGATGATTCACTTTAAATAGATCCTTAACCTCACAATTTGTTTTTCTTGAAACGGTCCTGAGAGGTGCTTTCCAAGAAACAAGGAAAAAACTGACTGCACAGTGGTGACTTTGAGTCTGTCTGCAGAAAGCAGTGTGAGTGGATGGTTCATTCCCATGGCAAAGCCTTTCCCTGTCACCCGGTGTCAGGGACAGTGAAAAAAACGGGCCGTAGCTTGGGAAACAGGGGTGCTCTGCAGTTGCCGTAGCAGGTCTTCAGGGAGAGCTTACGGGAACCCACGGTGTAGGGGCGGGGGAGGGGGACTGGGTGTGTTCATTTCCCGGGGATGCTGTAACAAATTACCACAAACTGGGGGCCTTAAAACAACAGAAATGTATTGTCTCACATTTCTGGAGGCTGGAAGTCTGAAATCAATGTGTCGCAGGACCACACTTCTTCCTTGCCGCTTTCTGGCTTCTGGCGCTTGCCAGCAGTCCTTGGCAGTTCTCGGCTGGCGGTTGCATCTCTCCAGTCTCTGCCTTTGCTGTCGTGTGGCCATCTTCCCTCTGTCTCTGTCTCTGTCTCCGTATTCAAATCTTTTTCTCTTTGTGAGAACACCAGTCATTGGATTTAGGGCTTGCCCTAATCCAGTAGGATCTTATTTTAACTTGATTACATCTGCAATTACATCCTATTTTCTAATAGGGTCATATTCACAGGCATCAGAGTTAGGACATCAGCATATCTTTTGGGGCTGGGGACTCAATTCAACCCACCACAGGAGAGGTCCCCTTGCTACTAGGCGGGTAGTCATATCACACGCACATGTCGTAAACATGCTGAGCAGACAAGAACCCAAAATCTCTGATTTGGGTAAGATGTGATTCCAAAATGTGGAGTGCAGAATTGACTAAAACGTTTTGAGGCTTAGAGTAAGAGACTGCTGCAGTTTAGGAAGACTTCCTCATTAAAAGATTCCAAAAGACATATTCCATGAGTCACCAGGGTAGACTGAATAATGAGCGCTCAAAGATGTCCGTGCTGTAATCCCGGGAGCCTGTGACTATGTTACCTTGCATGACAAAAGGGACTTTACAGATGTGTTTAAATTCAGGATTTGAGATGAGATGATCCTGGATTCTCTGAATGGATCTTCTAAGAATCACAAGGGTCCTTACGGGAGGGAGGCAGGAGGGTCAGAGTCAGAGAAGGAGACGTGATGGCTGAAGCAGAGATCAGAGCGCGAGGGGTTGGAGGATGGAGGGAGGATCTAGAAGAGGAAAGCAGGCAGCTTCTAGAAACTGGAACAGGCAAGGAAATAGATTTTCCCTTCAGAGCCTCTGGAAGGAGCTGACCCTGCTGGACGCTTCAATCCTAGCCCGGTGAGACTGATTTTTCCTTCATGACAAGTCAGTTGATGTTGTTTTAAGCTCCTAAATTTGATAATTGGTTACAGCAGCAATAGGAAGCATTGCAGTCACATAGCCCAGTTTGGCGTCTTGTATTATTTTAACAAGCTCTCCATCAATCCACCTGTGTATCATTTTAGTCTGCTAACACCAAGAACAATATGTTGCATGTGGAAGACCTTAATAACTACTTGTTGGATGCATACTCTGAGAGCTTATTATACACTCGGTAGTATGCTAAACCCTTTGGATACATCCCTGTCCTCCTATCTATCAGTGTGGAGGAGAATTGGACATTGAACAAATAATTTTACAAATAAAACAGACATTGATTTATGTGACAAGTGCTGTCACAGAAAACCACAGGGAGACGTGACAGGGTAGAGTCGGGGAAACCTAACTTCAACGTGGGGTCAGGCAGAGCCTTCCAGGACACTCCCAGCTGAAGCCAGGACTGGACATACCCTCGCTTGGTTCCAGTTTTAAAGACAAGACACTTTGCCCAAGGAGGTGACCCGAGTTGAGCACTCGGAGCGTCCACCATCTTTTCTGAATGGTGCGAGGTTGTCTGTTGTTCATGGAGCTCGTGTGGGGTAGGCCAATCCCTGGTCTGAACTTGAGGCGGTGACACATTTTCATCTTGGTTCTGCCGTGGGTTTAGCGGGTGACCTTTGACATATCGTCTGCCCTTCCTGCATGTCGTCTGTGCTCTGGCTGACAAACAACGATCTCACCAGCCATCAGCGCTCCACAGGAATGAAAAGAGTGAGTGACCAGGACAGGGAGGGAGGAAAGAAGAAGTTGCCTTGTTGCCACGGCCTTCCTCAGATGTGCCTCCGTGCCTTGGGTCACCCCTGGGGCTACTGGCACCTTCTGAGACAGAGCCGGGGCTGAGGGCTAGATTGTCGTTCACTGGGCACCTCTGCACCGGGGAAGGGGACGGGAGCTGAGGAGGGGGCACTGAGCAAGGCAGAATCCTTATCCCCAAGCAGTTGCTGACAGGTGGAGAGACAAATGCAAACACTCAGAATGCAAACACACAGTGTCCAAAGCAGAAGCAGCAGGAGGGGCGTGGGCTCTGCCCCAGGAATTCAGGTGCACAGAAGGAGCTGGGCCTGCAGGGATACTTTGGGGTTTGGTAAATGAAGGCGGGGTCGTGCACTCTGCAGTGGACAACAAGAGAGAAGCCTCCCCACACATCAGGGTTACACGTGGCTTGGGGTATGGCTTGCCACCTTCTCCCGTTTCTCCCCACATGAGTAAGGGCGGTGTCCATTATCTCTCAAGCAATTCCTACCTCCCTGGCACTGGTAGATGCTGGACACATGGTACCTCCTCCAGCCTCACAACAACACTGTCACATCGTCACCTCCATTTCTCAGATGAAACTCAAAGAGGTGACACTTGTCCAGTGTCAGGTGGCTGTGAAGATCCCAGCACAGTCTCCTTGCATCCAAGGCCCTAGCTCTTACCACATTGTTGATCCTGGGTTGATGGTGAAGGTGTAAGCTGGGGTTCCTCCCCAGCCCCTACCTGTCATGTGCACACCTGGCCTTCTCTGGGGGTGCATTTCCCAGCTGAGGAGACTGTCTGCGTGTGTGGCTCCGAAGGAAGCCTAGCTGGTGAGTTCAGAACAGGCCCTGTGTGTGATGTGGTGACCTGAGGTCATAGGATACAGACTGTGTCCCAGGAGCACCTGCCATTTTAGGGGTGGCTCAGGAAAGCCTCTGAGCTCCCTGGAGGAAGTTGTCCCCTCTCCACTGCTGCAAAGGAGAGTTGGTCATGGGGCCAGGCAGACACTCTCTGGACATGCTCGTGGAAGAGCTCTTTGGGAGAAAAGACACTCGAGCATGCCAACAAGAGGACTTAGGGGCCAGAATGTTCTGCCACTTGCCACTCGCCAACCTGAAATCTGCACCTCCTAATCACCTCCTCTCAGCCCTGCCTCATCAAGTGGGGTCTTGCAGGAACTGCTGGCAGCTCGGCCACCATCGGGGAAAACACCCCAGTCAAACACAGGCTCTCCTGTGCCTTGGCATAGAGGGAAGAGCCAGCCCTGCCCCCGCCCCTGCCCACTATGGTCTCAGGATTCACTCCTTGCTGAAGCCTTTACAGGGGAGCCAAACGCCCTCTCACCCAAGGCCCTTCCAAGGCCCTCCCACATCCTTTGGGTGAATCAGTTTCAGGAGCACCCATTTGAGGGAAAACTTCGTCCCCAGGAGAAATGGCAACGGAGAGGTGAAGGGGTGGAGGTACGCTTTGGAGCAGGGCCAAGGCACATGGGGGTGGGCTCCAGCCTCGAGCCTGTCCTTCTCCATGATCCTGAACATGACTCTTCTGGAACCTGGCCGGAAGTTGCCCCTCAGGAGACAGCGGGGGAAGGAAGTTGTGGTCCAGAAACTCCAGAATGCAGGGTGCCCTTCCCATTCAATCACGGAGGCTGGTCCAGGCCAAGAGCATCCTCGGCCTTTGTTTAAGCTCCCGTGAGTTCTTGGTTGACCTGGAGAGGCTGAGAGAGGCCCACAGGACCTCTTTCCTTCTGACCCTTCATTGCCTTTGGATCCAGCTCACCTCAGTGCAAGCCTGTGGCCTGCAGGGGAGGCCCTGAGGTAGAGGCACTCAGCCCTGATACCGTGAGGGACCCTTGAAAGTCTGTGCTCTTGTTTATGGTCTCAAAGACAAGAGGCCAAATTCCTCAGCTGACATTTTTACTGTCAGGACGTGCCAATGTTGTTCACTTTTTGTTTTGCTTTGCTGATGATTGTCTGGCACCTTGAGATGATGCTGAGTATGCCAGGCTATAGGGTGGAGATGTGGGTGGGAGCAGGCAACAGACTGGCCCTGATCTTCCAGAGCTGATCACATTCTCTGACGTCAGCTCTCTCTGTTCATGTCCTTTGAAGGGCAATGGACTCCGTGAGGGGAGACCCGAAGTCTGTGAATGCCCAGCTTCTGAGATACCGTCAATACTGTTGACTGCATGGATGGATGAATTGCAAGTGAGTTGTTGAACACAGTGGCAAGGAGGCTCCTTACTAGCTTGGAACCCCCTCCTCCGGCAGGGAAAGTGATTACCAACCTGGAGGTCAGCCAGGCCAAGAGGGCTTTGAGATCTACAACACCATCTCCATCTACTGGGTTTGGGTTACATGTTTTAAGTGGCTCAAGCTTCCTCTGAAATCATAGCAATAGCAATGAATGATGTCCCATCAGGCACTGCCCTGGTTTTTTTGCACACACTATCTTTCATCCCTATAAGGACGATGTGGGATGGCCATTGTCATGTTCCTTTCACAGAGGTGAAAATTAACACTCAGAGAGAGTAGGCATCTTGCTCAAGGCTAGAATGGGGTAAAGCCATTCATTTAATTTATTTATTCAACAAATATTCATTGCCAACCTGCTATAGGCCAAGCCCCTGGCACTATTCCAGGTATCGGGAGAATAGCAGTGAGCAAAATGGACGAGAATTCCTGCTCTCCAGGAGCTTCACTTCTAATGGGGGAAGCAGAGCAACACACAAGATAAAATACACAGCATGCCAGCGGTTGTTAAGTGCCAAGGAGGAAAAGTGGAGAAGGTGGAGGGGAAGGGCTGGTGGGCAGAGGGATATGCCTACTGCTGAGGAAGCTCCCACCATGAAGGTGACATTTGCAAACAAACCTGAAGGAGGTGGAAGACTGGCCAGGCAGAGACCTCCGGGAAGAGGGGCTAGGCCCAGACCCAAGCATGAGGGTGGCCAGAGTGTTCTGGAAACACGAAGACCAGCGCTGCTGCAGGTGGGAGGGGATGTGGGGAAGATAAGATGAGACAGAGTAAGGGTGTGTTGGGGGGTGACAGATTATGGAGGGCCCCAGAGGCCATCCTGAGGATACAGGAGCCATTCTTTGAGCAGAGAAGTGACATAGTCCAATTTCAGTTTCTGCAGGGTCCTTCTGGGCTCTAGGCTGAGAGTGGACTGAGGGATGAGGGTGGAGTCAGGGGCATGGATTAGGAGGCTATGGCTAGTCCAGGCAAGGGGGATGGCAGTCTAAATCAGGGCAGCAGCAGAGTCAGGTTTTGGAAATGTTTTGAAAATAGAGCCAGTAGGATTTGCCAACATTGGCAAAGATTGGATGTGAGGTGCCAGACCAAGTGTTGTCCTCAGCAACTGGGAAAAAAGAGTTAACGTTCTGCATTAGGCTGTTCCAGCATTGCCATAAAGAAATACCAGAGACTGGGAAGTCTATAAAGAACAGAGGTTTAATTGGCTCACGGTTCTGCAGGCTGTACAGGAAGCATGGTGCTGGCATCTGCTTTCCTTCTGGGGAGGCCTCAGGAAGCTTCCAATCATGGTGGAAGGCAGAGGGAGAGTGGGCATGTCACATGGCCAGAGCAGGAGCAAGACAGCAAGGGGGGAGGTGCCACACACTTTTAAACAACCAGATCTCATGAGAACTCTCTCTCTATCTGCAGGATGGCACCAAGAGAGATGGTGCTAAACCATTCATGAGAAATCTGCCCCCATGATACAATCGCCTCCCACCAGGCCCCACCTCCAACATTGGGGATTACAGTGAACATGAGATCTGAGTGGGGACACAGATACAAACCATATCATGTTCCCTGAGATAGGATGGCTGGGGGTTGGGGGTGAACAGTATTTGGGAGGGAAAATCAGGGACTCTGTTTTGGACACAATCCATTGGAGTTGCAGGTAGACATTCCAGTGGAGAAGACAAGTGGCTGGCTGGCTCTCTGAGCCTGGAGTTGAGGGGGTGATGTGGGCTGGAGATTGGACTTTGGCATCATCAGTGTTGGTGAGGCAGCTACAATCATGACTCTGGATGAGCTCATTGATGGGGGCAGCAAGTGTGGACAGAGAAGCAGGAGGTCTGAAGACTGAGGTCTGAGGTGTTTGGGGAGAAGAGGAGGAACCTGCAAAGGAGATAGGGAGCAAGCAAGGAGGCAGGAGGAGAGCCGGGCAGGTGGGCTGCAGCCAAGCAAGGAGAGGGGGAGGAGGAAGGGGGGAAGGGGAAAGGCGGGGAGTGGGAAGAGGGTAGGAGGGGGAGGAGGAGAGGGGGAAGAGGAGAGTAGGGGGAGTAGGGGTAGGAGGAGAAGGGGAGGAAGGGGAGGAGGAGGGGGGAAGGGGGTGAGGGAGAGGAAGGGGAGGAAAGGAGGGGTAAGGGGGGAGGAGGAGAGGGGAAGAGGGGAGAAGGAGTGAAATATACCTGTCGTGGGATTTGACCTATATTAGAGAATCACTGTGCAGTGCACCAAGCGGCACTGGAGAAGTCATCCCCGAAATAAATTGGATTGTGTGACAAGAGATGGGTTCAGCAGATGCAACTGACAGGGAGGAGGGAAACTGGACCAGCCTTGGCTGTGGATTGGCTGCGCGATCTTGGACAAATCACCCATCATGCTTTCCTTCCGTGTTACGTGGAAATGTCTCTGATATCTGCTGCCCTTACCTCACAGAGTAAAGACCCAAAGGAGATGTCATGAAAGCATTTCGAAATGCTGCTGAACACTCAGCACAGTGGCTGGCACAGACTGGGTAGAACTCAATGGTTGGAAAATGTACTTGGCTGTTATTGTGCCTTTTTCATGAAAATATGAAAAGCTAAATAAACCTGAAACATGTTGGGGACTGAGTGAGGGGAGATGAGCACGTTCTGAGAGTCCTAGGACCATGCACTCTTAGAGAGTGCCTTTGCTATTGTTTCGCCTCCCGTCCTACAGAGGAAGGGCTTAGGTTTGCTGTGAATTTCCCCCTTGCCTACCAGCATTGCGCCAATTAAGGTTTCTACTTCACTGCACGTTTCAGCCAAGGATGTCAAGGGAATCCACTGCTGCTCCAGTGAGACAAATAACATATCCAGCATCAACACTGCCATCATCATTAGCATCATTGTGGCCATTAGGATGGTTGGCAAGGCAATAGGTTGGCACTACTGATGGGCAGCACCATTAGTCTTCTTAGTGATTTTTCAAAATGGACAGTCTGGAGCTAAAAGCGTGAGCCCTGGAGGAGCTCATTTCATCAGACCTGCTGCAGGCAAACACTCTTCTCTTCATACCTTTCCCCCCTGTACGTGTGGGGTGATGACTGTCTTGGGAGGAAATATAGATGCAGTGCCTAGATATTCCAAAGCCCAGGTTCGGAACCTGTGTTCCCTTTGTTTTTTGATATTTCCCCTCCTTTCCTCCTGCCCTTTAGATCTTGTGCATTTGTGGGTTTTTCCCTTTCTGCTCAGCTCTGATCACTTATTTGCTTTTGTTTTCGGAGAGCTGTGTCCTCTCTTTACTCACCCACCTGCTTCATTAGAGATTGCTACTCACCTGCAGTATCCATGCTCACCTTCTTCCACGATAATTGAAAGAGTGTCCGGCACACGGCTGTCTACTTAAAAACTGCTTTCCCTAGTATCCCTTGCAGGCTGGTGTGGTCATGGGACTAATTTCTGCAAGAAGAGTTTGAGCTTCAGTGTGGTGTGACTTCTGGACCTTTGAAAAGAGGGGTTTATTCCTTCCATTCTCCCACCTTTCTCTTCCTTCCTCCTTGTTGGAGTGTGGCTATCTTGGTGATGGTGAACCATCTTGGACCACATGGATGAGGGCCACACACTCAGGATGCTGGAGCAACAAGGTGGAAGGTACCTGGGTCTCGACTGCCCACCCTTGTGAAAGGTAAATGCAGTTCCATCTTATCTGAACCCTAGTATTTTGAGGTTCTGTTAGAATTGCTGCACCTGTATTCTAACTAATGCCTTCTTTAGGCTCTTTGACCCACTTGCCAGATTGCAGGTTGCAGGAAGACAGAACATGGTTTTGCTCACCATTAGGTCATCAGGGCTGGCACAGATTGCTCAACACATAATAAATACTTGTTGGAAGTGTTAATGAGTTATGGTTTTACTCTGGTATCTGGACTTCTGCTTTCCAAAGGATGAGTGGCCCTTGACGCATTGTTCCCTTGGGCAACTGCAGCCTCTGTCATGGGCCAAGTATGGAATGTCCCTGGGAAATAAAATCTCAGAGGAAGAGAGCTCCTGCCCAGCCGAAATTCTCCCTGGAATTGTGAGCCTCCAATTAGGCTAGAAGATACAGTCTTCCCATCTGTTGTAGAAACAGAAAGTTATTTAGAGTATAAAACAATCTCCCGGCTTCATGTGTGAAGCCTATTTGAGAGTCAGAGGGTTCCAGCAGAGGGAGGAGGATCATCAGCTACACCTGGAGCTCTGGGGATGAAAGAACCCATGAGGGCCTCATAGATTATAGGGCTCTGACTCCTCCAGGGAAAGATGATCCAGTGTTCTGGCCTATCTTGGCCTGTGGTTCTTTGTGATCCATGGAGTGAGAGTGTCCACAATCGCCTGCTGTGTGGTATTTCCCTGACTTGAGCCTTTGCTCATAACCAGCATAGCCCACAAACACCAGCCGTATCCCTCAATTCCTGACTTCTGCTTTCCCGTCTTTACAGAAGAACCCCAGCTGTGCTAATGGTCCTGTAACCTCTCAGCTCAGGGCCATGAGACCTTCTCTCTGCATGAATCTCGCCTCCTCTGCACCCCACACTTCCACACCACTTCCTCATAAAACGTGTTATCTGACTACACAACCCTGGAAATGATGTTCCTCCTGATGTGTTCCCAAGCATTCTTGCTATTCTGCTTCCTCTAGAAGCCAGGGAACTTTAGCTGACCAGGTCTGTGTCTTGGGCACCTGCCTTGGTGAGCGACCTCTGAGAATTTCTCACTAAACATTTGTTGAATGAACTAGGAGATATATAAGGGAATGCCTCTTCTGCCTACCATGAGCATGGCCTTAAGTGTTATCTTTGTTGCTTGGCCAAGTCAGGGCCTTGAGTCCCAAGTGAGGTGCCCAGCCCTTATTCCTGATCAATAAATACTTTTAGACTCCTGATTATTCTCTTGCTTGCTTGCTTGCTAATCTCTAATAGATTAGATCTATTCCCTAATCTAATTCTCTGATCTTCCTCCTGAAACTTGGCTCCATATTGAGTTCCTTGCCCTATATCCGTACTTGCACGGCCGCTATTTGCCACCCAGAGTCCCCGTGCTGGCAAATTCAACACCCGGAGCATTATCATTTTGGTGCAATTCCTGAGCACAGCTTGCTGACTCTTCGGTACTTATTGTTTCTATCTGGAATACAAGAGGGAGTATATTATGAGGATGATGGTAAACCCAGATCATGGTGCTCAGAGCAGATCTGAAACTCTGGCAGCGTAACACCTCTCTCCAGCATGGACAGATAAGGGTGATTATTATTTAGTTAGACTTTTCATTTTGAGAGAAATCGTAGGTTCACATGCAAATGTAAGAAATGATGTGGAGATCTATGTACCTTTTATACAGTTTCTCCCAAAGGTAATACCTTCAAAACTATTGTATGATTTCACAAACAGGACACTGACATTGATAGAGTCCAGATTCAGAACATGTCCGTCATCACCAAGGTCCCTCACGTTGCCCTTTTGTGGCCGCACCTGCGTCCTCTTACTCTCCCCATCTCTGCCCCATCTTTAACTCCTGACAACTACTAAACTGTTCTTTGTATAACTACTAAACTGTTCTTTGTATAACTACTAAACTGTTCTTTGTATAACTAAAGTTATAATTTTGTCATGTCAAGAATTTCATATGAATGGAATTACACAGCATGCAACCTTGACTTTTCTTACTCAGCACAACCGTCTGGAGGTTCACCCAGGTTGTGGCATGTGTCAATAGTTTTCTCTTTTGTTGCTGAGTAGTATTGCATGATAGAGATGTACTGCAGTTTGTTTAACCACTCACCTTCCACCTGAAGGGCAGCTGGTTTTTTCCACTTTGGGGGGATTACAAACAAAGCTGCTGCAGACATTCACATGTGGGTTTTTGTGTGAACCTAAGTTTTTTTTTTTTTTTTTTTTTCCTGGGATGAATGCTCAGGAGTGCATGCCAGGTTGCACAGGCCTTGCATGTTTAGTTTTATAAGAAACTGTCAGACTGTTTTCTAGAGTGATTGCACCATTTTACATTCTCACCAACAATGTATGAGGGATCCAGTTTCTCCATATCCTTGCCAGCATTTGTGGTTGTCACTCTTTTAGCCATTCAATAGTCATGTAATGATATCTCATTGTGGTTGTAATTTGTATTTTCCTAATGGCTAATGATTTTAAATTACCTCTTCATATGCTTATTTGCCACCTGTATATTTTCCTCTTCAGTTAAATATCTCTTCATGTCTTTTCTCATTTTTTCAAATTTAAAAATTCTTATTTATTTATTTTTTATTTTTTTTACTGTGGAGTTTTGAGAGTTCTTTCTATATTCTACATACTAGTCCTTTGTCAGATAGGCAGTTTGCAAATATTTTCTCCCAGTCTGTAGCTTGACTTTTCATCCTCTTAACAGGGTCTTTCATAGAGCAAATGTTTAACTTTGATGAAGTCTAATTTAACCATTTTTCCTCTTATGGCTCATGCTTTTGGCATCAAGTCTAAGAATTCCTTGCCTGGCCCTAGCTTTCAAATATTTTCTCTTTTTTTCTCTATAAGTTTTATCGTTTTATGTTTTACATATAAATCCATGATCAATTTGGAGTTAATTTCTGCATGAAGCGTGAGACTAGATTGAGGTTTATTTATTTATTTTTTGCTTATGAATATCGATTGCTTCCATACCATTTGTTGAAAAGGGTATCTTTCCTCCATTGAATTGCCTTTGTACCCTTATCTAAAGTCAGTTGGAAATTTTGCGTGGGCCTATTTCTATTAACTTCCACTGGTCTGTGTATCTATCCCTTCACTAATAGCATGTAGCCTTGATCACTGTAGCTATACAGTAAATCTTGACATTAGGTAGACTAATCTATCCCATTTCATTTTTCTTTTTCAAAATTGTTTTAGCTATTCTAGTTTCTCTGCCATTTTATATACATTTAGGATAATCTTGTCTAGATCTATGCAATAATATTGCTGGGATTTTGTTTGCAGTTATATTGACCCATATATCAAGATGGGGAGAATTGACATCTTTACTGTTGAGTCTTCTGATTCATGAATTTGTAATGCTTCTTCATGTATTTTAGCTCTTATTTGGTTTCTTTTGTAGGAATTTTAAGCACACAAGTACTGCACATATTTTGTTAGATTTACACCTACGTATTTCATTTCTCTTGAGTGACTGCAAATGGCATTGCATTTGTAATTTTGGTGTCCACTTGTTCATTGCAGTATACAGAAATAGAATTGAGTTCATGTGTTTATCTCTTATTCTGTAACATTGCTGAACTCATTAGTTCTAGGGTTTTTTTTTTTGGTTTGTTTTATAGATTCTTTGGGATTGTCTATGTTCACAATCATAGGGATGGTTTTATTTCTTCCTTTCCAAACTATCTGCTTTTATTTTATTTTCTTATTTTATTGCACTGGCAGAACTTCCAGTAGGAAGTTGAATAGGAGTGGTAGAGTGGTCATTCTTGCCTCTCCTTGATCTTACGTGGAAAGCATTCAGCCTTTCATCATCAAGTATAATGTTAGCTATAGGGTTTTATAGATGCTTTTTAGTAAGTTGAGGAAGTCCCCCTCTATTCCTATTTTTCTGAGAGGTTTTCTAATGAATGGGTGTTGAATTTTGTCAAATGGGGCAAGAGGGTGGTAATTCTTCATTATTCCTTACTGTAATTAGTCTGTCAATGTTAATGAGCATGCTATTATTAAGCACCTATTGGATGTTCAGTGTTGTGCTAGGCTCTGTGAGACATATAGGAACCTAAAAATTTGAGCCTTGCCCTCAAGCACTAAGGAAACACACTTTCTAAACCACAATTTAGCATATACCATAAGTGCTGCAGAAGGCCCCAGGCAGCGGAGGCCAGTGTTGCCCTGGCTAGAAGGTGTCACTTAGGTTGGCCTTTGGGCTGGAGTAGAACCTAGATACACAAGAGAGGGGAGTGAATTAGAGAAAATTCAACGGCCTAAAATTCTATTTTCTAACAAGGACAATGGTAAGTTGATAATTAGTAGGATAGAGATAGCTTTTGATTAATGAAGTTGGATTATCTCTATTCTGTGGATTATCCCTGACAAATGCTTAATCCTGAACTTCCTCCCTTTTTGAGCATTTGGGCTCTCTTTTCTGCCATCCGTCAACATGTTCAGGGGAATGCAAACTAATATTACTATTAGCTAAAGAAAAACATAATTAAGGAGGGCAATCTGCTGTCCCTAAATTGTATCATCTTTTCCAAACTAAATATGAGTGATATTGGTACTATCTTTTGTTTGGAGAGATCCACACCACTTCTCTCCCTCTTAAGGCTCAAGAAGAATTGACTGTGACCATGATATACACAATACATTTATTAAGCTGTCTCTCTAACAAGTTAGCTAAACACTTGGGAAGTAAGAGTAATGCCTTAGAGAATTTGGAACCCATGACATCTGATTCATTGGTATTGTCCATATTTGTACATGTTTACTCTAATATAAAGTAATAATATAATAGTGCTGTCATTTGCAAAATTAAAAATCCTGGCACATTACTCATGGGTCATGCTTTGGGTTGTCATTCTAACGGGTTTGATGGATTTGTATAGATCTGGTCCTCTATCTCACTTTGTCCTGCTGGTGACCAGTGGCTCCTCTTGGAGGCAGATGGCCAGGGTTAAGGGTGGAATCTGAGGCCGTGAGGGAGAGTGAAATTAACTGCTCCCTTCACAAGGGAATTGAACCCCTGACCTTCACCTCATTAGCACAGCACTCCAATGCAGCAATTCCTAACCTCAATTTTATATCACCCCAGGGTGTCTCCACTTATCTCAAGCGGGAGCTGCAGAATTCCTCCAACAAAATTAATTTTAATTCACCTTAATTTAAACATTAAATATGGACTATGAGGCAGCAACTTGCAGGAGTGGGGAAGAATGGCTGTTGTTAATAAATCCCACCACCACAATGCACTGTTATCCAAACACCCCAAAACACCCTCTCGAACCCACTGAGCCAAACAGTGTGGGGAGGAAGAAGTCTATAAGTAAGCAGCAGGCATGAAAGGCTTTTAAATTGCGGGGGAAGCAACACCCAACCCTACCAAACATCTGCATTTCATAGAGACTGTTTCATGTGGTCAGCTGGGGTGCACTCTGACATTCCCTGGGCCAGATGGACATATTTCAGCTCCCGTCCAGGCAGCCCATCCCTTTTTCCTCCTAGGGACTGTGATGCTTTGCATAGTCCCAGGAATTTGCTGCAGGAACATTTTGTGATTTACTAAGAAAATAAATTGGTCTTTGTTGCTGGGGCTTTCTCCTGGGTCAATACAAAAGATTCATCACCTCCATGCCGGCCCACGGAGAGGTTGGCTCAAAGGATTCTCTGGCCACTGGCTTATTCTGGAGACAAGCAGAGTCCCAGCAGAACCTTTGCAGGGTAGGCCAGCAGCCTGAGTGTAAGGCAGGGGAAGTAACCGTAGGAATCAGTTATTGATGAACATCCTTAAAACTCTGATTGTTTGTTTGTTTGTTTGTTTGTTTTGAGATGAGTCTCACTCTGTCGCCCAGGCTGGAGTGCAGTGACGCGATCTCGGCTCACTGCAAGCTCCTCCTTCCAGGTTCACACCATTCTGCCACCTCAGCCTCCCGAGTAGCTGGGACTACAGGCGCCCGCCACCATGGCCAGCTAATTCTTTTTTGTGTTTTTAGTAGAGACTGGGTTTCACCGTGTTAGCCAGGATGGTCTTGATCTCCTGACCTCATGATCCACCGGCCTTGGCCTCCCAAAGTGCTGGGATTACAGGCGTGGGCCACCGCGCCCGGCCGAACATCCTTAAAACTCTTCATGGTCGTTTACTGATAACAACATCCACATGCATTTTTTAAAGGAGAATAAGCATAGTTCCTTACCCTGGCAGTGCACTTTATATAATTTGTCAAAGAGTTTCACATGCATTGTATCTCAATTGTTCTCTACCTACCCAGAATTACCAACTTCATTTTATTGAAGAGCAAATAGACTTGGAAAAGTTAAATGCCTTGCCCAAGGTCGCATAGCTAGTAAATCATGGTTGTAGCACCAGATCCCATGTCTTCTCATATACTGCACCCTTTTCTCTATACTAATCTTATCTTGGTTTATTATCAACATCCATTTGCTTTTGGCAGGGAAGGGTCCAGAATCTTCATTTTACAGAACAACGAATTGAGGTAAGTAAGCGTTTTGGGTCCTGCCTCTTTTTCTGCTGGCACCATGTGCCTTTCTTGCTGAAGGGCAAGGAGTTCTTTTGCAGGCACACTCATTTCTGCTCTCAGAGGCCAGGCTCTCAACCATCATCATCAGTGCCATCCTGCTCATTGGGCCCCACCCTGCCCTCTGTGTCCAGTGGGGGCTTGCATCTGTGATTTCTGGGCAGTGAGGGGGTCATACGTGAACAGTTCCTTCGCATCCTCTTAAAATTGCTCTTTCAGCTCCATAAGTTTCAACTAGTCAAAACACTCTCCTTCACACTTCTTCAAAGATGAGCATTTGTTCTACATATTTTTTTGTAGTCATATTCTGCGAGTGCACACTTTCCCTCTTGGGTCCTTAGACACACCCTTTTCCAGGCATGATTCACTTCCTCAAGCTCCATTCTGGATACATACATCTGGTGCCACCTGGAAGAGGGCTTATCAGGTCCTCCCACCTGGAATACAGCTTAACCAGAGTTGATTTCTAAGGCATGCAACCAAGAAACCAGACTGATATAAATGGGATATTATTGATTTTATCTGCCTAACCGAGTCTATAAATTTCTGAAAGCCATGGAAGGAACTCTATTTTGTTGCATTCCTCATAATATCTAGAACGGTGCTTTGCATATACTGAGTGCTCAAGGCATATTTGCAGATGGTGACGAGGATGATTTGATGTCGTTTTAAAGGCCGGACATCCAAGAGGAGGTCTGTTCTCTACATGTGCATGCACGTACACTTACACACACTCTCTGACTTGTAAGATGCCCTTTGCAAGAGTCCATTTGGGAAATGCAGTGGGCCCACTGGAAGAAATTCAAGGCCATGGGCCAGCTACACCACGGAAGCCCTACACCCAGCCAAACGTGCTCACTGGCAAGTCAAACCCAAAAGCTGTCATCAAATTCTGCTTCCTGGCAGCCCTGATCCAACAATACTCTGAAAGACAAAAGAAGCAGAAACTCAAGTGAAGATCACCAACGTGTCTTTTTGGGCAACTAGCAGATTGAGCAGAGGGTCAGCACAGACACCAGCAGAGAAGAACATTCTCCTGGCAGGACTCTGCCTCCAAATTCGGCACCACTTCACAGGATCTCAGCCTCACACCTTATGGGATTTATTTTTTTAAAAAAGATCCAACATTTGTTCCTAATTATTCTTAGTAAAACTGCCTTTCTTGATGTGGCACCCATTACCTCATTCATTCAGTCACTCATTCATTCATTCAATGAAACCCCTGTCATCCACGCTCTGGGCTCTTTCTACAGCCCCACGACATGATCAAGAACTCTGGAAAACAGGTAAGCCATTATCATCAGTGTATATGAAATTATCATCAGTGTATACGAAATATGAAGAAACCCAATTAGATGGAGATATCTCCTACCACACATTGAAATCAGAACTCAGACAAGACTCAGATGTTCTAACTCCAAATTCTGAGCAGTGGCCCCTGGATAAAGGATTATGGAGAAATACTGACCAGAAAAAATACTCTTAAATGGCATATTGTGGTGTTTTAAGGCAAGGTTATTGGTAGTGCTTGTAACTCTCAAAATACTGTTTTGGAAGTTTGTAGTGATTTTGCAGAACGGCTTTGAGTTACCTCTGGGTGTTATCAATCATTGGATAGTTTTCAAAAGAAATCCACCTTAATTTGAGTTAAATAATATGTCATTTAGCCAGATTTCCTCCTGCCCCCAATCCCCATAGGAGTGAGAAGCCATGGCTTGGGGCATTATCTCAGCATCATGGGAATTGCAGAGAGGGTACCACAGCTTTAGAGTTTGAGGTGTTGAGCCTGAACAAAAGGAAAGGGTAAGAAACTTGGGGTGGATAGAACGTGGAACTACTATGAAGAGCTTATTGCATAGAAAAAGAGAAATTTGAGTTAAAAAAAAAAAAATGGAAGAAAGTAAAGGGAGCCCAAATGGGAACAGTTACCAGAGGAGATTCCCTGGAATTTGAAGGAACCAGGTTGAAGGATGGTTTCCCAATTTGAATAATTATAAGAATCACCTGGTACTCTTTTTAAAACTATAAGTTCCTAGAGCCCCAGTCTTAGACATTGCATTTAGCGTGTCTGGGTTGAGGCCCAGAAATCTGTATTTTTAACAGAAACCCAGGTGATTTTTATAATCAGGAAAGATTTGGGCAATGTCTGCATTTGAAGATGCTGTCTCTCAAAATGAAGAAATACCTGGACAAAGCCAAGTCCAAGACAGGGGCTCTAAGTCAAAAAGGCAAGAGCAAAAACAACATGAGCCTTTACAAAATGTGAATTGGCAAAAAAGCAGCTGTAGCTCATATTTAATAACCTCCCATGGCTTCCAGAGAAGCAGCTGGGTCTGCAGAGTCCTGTTTGTGCACAGGATGAATGGAGTCTGTGTGCCACTCGGGATGCCCCCACAATACCCACATTATCACTGAGGTGCTCCAGCGAGGCATTCATTATGCACTCCCCTGCCACCCAAAGCCTCAGGTCAGGTTTGCCTTGGACACTCTCCCTTCTCCCTTCTCTGAGGCTGAGGGGCTGCAGGGGCGGGTGCCTGAACTCCCTCCCTCTCTCAGGGATGCCTCAGCTCTATGGGACTTCCTCTGGATCACATGATTGCATTTTCCTGCCTTGGGGCACCCTAAAGGCCTGCCTCTGGGAAGCAGGGTCTAGAGGCATGAGCTTGTCTGGACAACAGAAGCTCAATCTCAGCATCCTAAAGGCCTGCCTCTGGGAAGGGGGGGGTCACAGAGGCATGAACTTGTCTGGACAACAGAAGCTCAATCTCCATCTCCAAGCAGTTCGATCCCCCAACACTCTTGGCATTAGGAGGGGAGCCTCTGCAAGTGTGAGGACCGGGGGCCTCTAAACACGGTTTTTTTCTTTTTCTTTTTTTCTTGAGATGGAGTCTTGCTCTGTTGTCCAAGCTGGAGTGCAGTGGTACCATCTCCACTCACTGCAACCTCTGCCTCCTGGGTTCAAGAGATTTCTGGCTAATTTTTGTATTTTTAGTAGAGACGGGGTTTCACCATGTTGGCCAGGCTGGTCTCAAACTCCTGACCTCAAGTGATCTGCCCACCTCGGTCTCCCAAAGTGCTAGTATTAAAGGCGTGAGCCACCACACCAAGCCCTAAACACAGCCTGAGGCTGGTATCCCAGGAGGCCTTGAAAAATCTCAGGTTTGCTGCTGACAGGTGTGCCAGGAAGAGACCTGGCTGCTGTCTGCAAGTGGCCAAACCCTGATAATCCCGGAAATAAACAATAAAATAAACTCCTCAATGGTGATTATAAAGTACTATTGTTTATCAGCCAGGACCTGTGCTAAGCTTTTCACCTACATTATTTCATTTATATTTCAGAGCAATCCTTTGAAGCAGTCATGTTTATATCAGTTTTATGGATGAGGTCAGAGACTTCTGCTGGTTAAGTACCTTGCCACTATCACACAGCTAGCTAGTAAATAAACTTTAAAAAATTGAAGTATTATGTACATAAAGACAGGCATAGTGTACAACTAAGTGGGTTATCATAAAAGTGAACATACCTGTGTAACCATCCACCCAAATCAAGAGCTAGACTATTACCAGCCTCAGAAAAATCCCAGACCCTCTCCAATAACCTCCTCTTCCCCAATGGTGACCATTTTTGTCACCGAGTATTAGATGGCTAGTTTGTGAATTTTATAAAAACAGAATTCTACATTATATGTTCTTTTTGTCTGACTTTTTTCTCCACTCAGTATGACATCTGTAATGTTGATCTAATGTCATTCATGTACAAGTAGTTTGGTCATTTTTAACACTATAAAGATGTTCATAGTATGAATGTATCACAATTTATTTATACATTTTTCATTTTGCTGGTTATTTGAGTAGATTTTAATTTTGCCCCATGACAAATAATGCTACTTGGAATGATCTTGGATAGTTGACCCTTGAACAATGAGGGTCGGAGCAGTAAAAAATTCATGTATAACTTTTGGCTCTCCCAAACTTAACTACTAATAGCTTACTATTGACCAGAACCCTTACTGATGACATAAATAATTGATTAACACATATTTTGAATGTATATACTGTATTCTTACAGTAAAGTGAGCTAGAAAATAGAAAATACTTTTAAGAAAATTATAAGAATGAGAAAATATATTTACTATTCATTAAGTAAAAGTGAATCATCATAAAGGTCTTCATCCTCACCATCTTCACATTGAGTAGGCTGACGAGGAGGAGGAAGAGGAGGGATTGGTCTTGTCTCAGGGATGGCAGAGGTGGAGGAAAATCTGTGTATAAGTGGACCCACGCAGTTCAAACCCATGTTGCTCAAGGGTCACCTGTACATGTGTCTTGGTGTACATATTTCGGCATAGGATATACCAAGAAATGTAATTGATGGGTCATAAGGTGTGTGGATTTTCAGCTTTAGTAGATACTGTTTACATAGTTTTGCAAAGTGGCTGTACCAGTTCACTTTCAGCTATGAGAGTCCTGGGGGATCCACATCCTCACCAACACTTGATACTGTTGGTCTCTTTTTACTTTTGCCATCCTGATGAATGTGTTTCAGTTTGCATTTCCCTGATGACTAATGAAATTGAGCAGCTTTTCAAATGCTATTGGCCATTTGGATATCTACTGGCTTATTCAGGTCTCTTGCCTGTTTTTCTACTGGGTTTTCTGTCTTTCCAGGTGATTTGTAGGAGTTCTTTATATTTTCCGGTTATGAATCATTTGTCATTTCTATGGATTGTAAATGTCTTCTCTATGGCTTTTCTTTTCATTCTTAATAGTATCTTTTGGTGAAAAGAAGACTCAAATTTTAATGTAGTCCAATTTTTCAATGTTTTCTTTTTTGATTCTGTTTTTGTTTCTGTTATATATAAGTACAACTGACTTTGTATATTGATATTTCAATCCAAGAACCTTGCTGAATTTACTTATTAATTCTGTTAGTTTTTCTATAAATTATTTTGTATTTTCTGCATATGCAATGATATAGTCTGTCAATAATGGCAGTTTTTTTTCTTTCTATTTCTTAAAATTTTATTTGTTTTCTTGCTTTACTGCAAAGGCTAGGACCTCCAATACAATAATGAATAGAAGTGGTGATAGATAGGAAGCATCTTTCTTTTATTCTCAGTATTAGGGGAAAAGTATCAATATTTGAACATTTATATGATATTTGCTGGAGGGTTTTTTTGTAGATACTCTATCATGTTAAGGCATTTCCCTTTTAGTCATACTTTCCTAAATACTTCTTTTTTCCTTTTACTATCGCCAGGGGTTGAATTTTATCAAATGCCTTTTCTGAATCTATTGAGCTGATCAACGATTTTCTTCTTTATTCTGTTACTGTGGTAAATTACATAGACTGATTTCCGAACACTGAAATAATCTTGCATTTCTGGAAAAAAATATCATCTTGTTTGTGATGTATTGTCCTGTTTATATATTGCTGAATTCAGTTTGATAACATTTTGTTTAGGATTAGCATCCATGTTCAGGAGAAAGAAATCACCATTTTCTTTCCTTGTCAGGTATTAAGGTTATAAAGCTCTCAAAAATGAGTCAAGAAGTCATTTTTATTTTTTAGAAGAGCTTTTGTAAAGACTGATGTTATTTCATCTTTAAAGGTTTTGAAGAATTCACTGGTGAAGCCATCTGGGCCTGGAGGTTTGTTTTTGTTTTTGTTTTGGTGGAAAGGTTTTTCATTATGGATTTTATTTCTTTAATAGGTACAAGGCTATTATATCAGATATTCTTTTTTTATTTGGGTCAGTTTTAATAAGTTGTGTTTTCCAAAGAATTTGTCTATTTCACCTAGATTTAAACATTTATCATCATAAATTGGTTCTGAACAGCTTTTTGTCTTATTTAGGAGCCACAGATTCTATTGTTAGGGCTTCCTTTCCATTCCTGATAATATTTGGGACTCTTCTTAAAAAAAATTAATCTTATGGGCTTATCGGTTGTATTAATCTCTTTTGTTGTTTGTTTGTTTGTTTGAGATGGAGTTTCGCTCTTGTTGCCCAGGCTGGAGTGCAATGGCGTGATCTTGGTTCACTGCAACCTCAGCCTCCCAGGTTCAAACGATTCTCCTGCCTCAGCCTCCCAGGTAGCTGGGATTACAGGCGCCTGCCATCATGCCTGGCTACTTTTTTGTTTTTTTAGCAGATTTCTCCATGTCGGTCAGGCTGGTCTCAAACTCCTGACCTCAGGTGATCCGCCCCACTTTGGCCTCCCAAAGTGCTGGGATTACAGGCATGAGCCACAGCACCTGTCCCTGTATTAGTCTTTTTTAAAGACTTGTTTTTATTTTTATTTTTTCACTTTGTTGGTTTTCTTTGTTGTATTATTGTTTTCTACTTTATTAATTCCTGCTATTTATTATTTCCATTCTTATGCTATCTTAGGATTTAATATGCTGTTTTTTTAATTAAAATCTTGAGATGGAAACTTAGTTCATTGTTTCTTCATCTTTTCTTCTTTTCTTGTAAAGCATTCAAGGTTTTAAATTTCTCTTAAGCATTCTTTGGCTGCATCCCTTACATTTTGATATGTTTTAGTTTTATTACCTTTTTATTGAAATATTTCCTAATTTCCACGGTAATTCTTATTTTGACTCATGGGTTGTTTAGATATGTATTAGTTCATTTTACATCACCTTAATCCGACCAAGAACTGAGCTCTTTAAAGATGGTTCAGGCTTTCTGCAGGCTGAGTTCTTCCTGGATCACCCCTTTGTGGGGAGTCTCAACAGAAGACCAGTGGTATTTAACCCAGCTCTTCCTCCTTGCTGGGCTCTGAATTCCTTTCTGTGCCTCAGCCCCATGAGAGTCCTGGCAACTCTGCTCAACTTCTCAGTTTCCGAGCCACTGCTGGGGAATCCATGCACGCCAAGGAGAAAAGTGGCTGGCACCTCTCCGCTCACGCCTTGTTTCCGGGATCTTAGTGCCTTAGTTTCTCATTGCGTTAGTAGTTTTTTTTTTTTTTTTTAAATTCTTATTCATTTATTTAGGAGACAGAGGTCTTGCTATGTTGCTCAGGCTGGCCTCAAACTCCTGGGCTCAAGTGACCCTCCCACCTCAGCCTCCTGAGTAGCAGGGACTACAGGCTACTATTAGCTGGTGGTTTTTGATGCCTTCAAATAGATTTGAAAAAGATGTTTTGTCCACATTATCCAGTGTTCTTGGCACGAAGGGCGTCTGATAACTCAATCTATCCTTACCACCAGGGGACATCCCCTGGAACCAGGATTTAGGCACAGGTCTGTGCACACCCAGACTCCAGAGCCCACACCGCTGCGTGGCAGGGGGAGCTGCCATGTTGGAGTACAGGCCGCCAAATGCAGAGTTGAAAAGGAATGTGAAGCCCTCTTGCTCTCCAGCTCTCTTCTTCATCATCTTCATTATTCTGGATCTAGTCAAGCATTGCCATTTACCTAATCTCAGTTCTAAAATGTGTTGAACACAAATTTTCTAGTTTCTTAGTAAAATTAATCTTTTAAATCACTTACTTTCTAACGGTTGTTCACAGGGCATCTGGGACCTCTTTTTCAAGGTCACCTTCTCCTGGTCTGAAACCAAAATGAAAACAAATAGAATCCAAGTGTGCTGTAGCTCCTGACATCCCTCCGTGGGCTCGGCCAGCCCCTGCATGGAAGCCTCCACATGGGTTCACCAGGCTGTTCTTCGGGCTCTCCCAAAGTGGCTGCTTTTCCGTCAATATGAATGGCATGACTGGCCCCATCTCCCTTTTTTCTTCGGGTGCCAGGAAGCCTGGACTGTTGAGCTAACTTTACGGTCCAACCATAGCAACTATGTCAGTGTGCAGATAACTGAAGGTGCCTTTCCCTCCCTGGCTTGGCTTCTCCCTCTTACTTCTCTTCCCAAGCTCTCAATTTGCTTTATTTTTGTATATTTTACCACGATATTGTCTCTCTGTGTGTCTTTATATAAAACTTGAGTTACTCCAGTTCTGCCAATCTGTGTAATCACTTGGCATTTTTATTTGTGTTCATAATTTTCAGCCATGGAGACATTTGAAAGACAACAAAATCGATCCTGGAGAAACAGAGATGTGGGCACTATTGCAATTTATAGAATTTATTGTGAAATTGGACTTTGATGAATCTTTGCCATACATATTCTGTTGCTTAAGATTTTTTGTAACAATTTATGTGTCTATTGCTTTATGTGAAAGACGCTTTTCAAAATTAAAATCAGTAAACAGTGTTCTGTGATTAACCAGGAACAAAAGTAGATGGACAACTGCTCAATGAACATGAAACTATGAAGATCAATTTTTCTTCTAGGTCATGGACAAATTAAAGTAGTTAAGTGTTAAAAACAGAGACCATGATGTCATTCCTCATGACTACAATAGACCAATATTTAACTCTAAGCGTATTTCCTTTAAAAAAAAAAAGTTAACTACAAAAATGTAGTTAAAAGTGCTAATCTACTAATTTTTTGGTACTGTAATATTTACTGTATTATTTATTTTTCTATTTTATGGGCATAACCATCCACAGAAGGGTCAGTAAGAGAGAAATATCACTGCTTTCCTCTTCTATCCATTATTTTTGTTGTTTCGTTTCATGGCTATTACTAAAAATAATGTTGTCACAGAGAAGCAAGGTGATAAAAGGATTCTCTCTGGGGGTCAATCCATGAAGAAAGCTGGAGAAATATCTGCTGAACAGAGTTCATGGCTTCATGTTCTATCTGAGCAAGTCTCATCCTGCAGTCAGCTCTCTTGAGGCTGAGCCAGGTCTTTGCACACCTTTCCTCTGGCTGATGCTTTTAAATTCCCTCTGTCTTCGTCTCTGCTATTGGGTTCGGTCTCCTCCGTGAGTCCCCCACGGGGCCTGGTGAGGACAGGCTCTGTGGGAGCAGCTTTCTGTTTTGAGCCTGTGATGTCTGGCCAAGGAGCGCCTGTCAGCTGCTTGGGCTCCATCTCAGCCCAGAGACGTCGTGCTGTGTGGTCTTAAAGCAGGTCACTTCACCTCTAGGTATCTCTCTCTGTAAAACCCAGATAATAATACTTCCCAAATAAAGAAAGGGTTTTCTTTAAGCCCTTTGAGCTCCTCAGATGGAGCGCACCACAGAAATGCCAAATGCGGCATTGTGATCCGCGCTGCCTCCATGTGATTAGGTAATGTGAGATTGTGGTTCATTATGCTATGTCTGGAATGAATGCGAGCCCTGCCACAAAGCACTGGGAACTCTCAGTTACACAGAAACCCCATGGTAAGCTTGGATTGGCTTACACTTAAATAAAACACACCAGAAAAGAGCAGTAGTTTTGACGAACCCAGCTCTCAATTAACACTCATTTGATTTCTTCTGCTGAGTGCGGGCGATAAGTAAGAGATGACCCAGTTACAGGTGCGGGGGGGCACAACCAACACTGAGGTGACTGAGTCGGGGGAAGGGCAGCTCCTCTGCAAAATGCTTCAGGCTCCCAAGGAGGCAGGCCCAGAGTGGGCAGGTCTGGACTTACTGCTGTACAGACAAGGGGGAAATTCAATAGCTACCATTTATTGAGTTTCTGCTAGGTGCCAGGAACTCTGCAATGTATGTCATTCTTCTAAACCCTCCAGACAATGGTATTAAACCATATTAATATTCTGAAAACCAAAACAAACACCCACTACACTTGACACATTTTTTTTTTGTACCATAATGAAAGCCTATGTGTTTGGGCCCACAGTTTCAGCCAGGATTTTGACCTGGGGCCTCCTAACTGATCCTGAGGCTTTAAGACCACACAGCATGGGTCTGCGAATTGCAAATGGGAGGCTTACTTTTCCCATTCTTATCCAAGCCTCCAGAAGTGGCTCTGGAGCTAGATCCAGCCTCCTTTCTTACGAAGCCTTGGATACATCCCACTTAGCTTGACAAACTTTTACCGGAATTCTCTGATCCCATTTCACAGCTGTTGCAAAGGTAGGGTCTTGGTTGTGTCTTCCTTCAAGCTGCTTATGAACCAGGGGTGGAGACTAGGAAGTAAGGAACCCTGGAATCAGAGAAGTCAGGAGCAAGCATCTTGTTGGCTTGAGGTTCTCCAGGCACCATAAATCAAGTAGTGCGCATACTAAGAAAACAAGCTGGACAACAAGAGGAGAGCAGGAGGGTCCTTAGGATTGGCTGCTTGTACCATGGCCCCCAGTGGCTCAGTAGAGACAAGGGGAATCCCAGGTAAGTAGACTCCTTCGCTCCCCAGAGAGGAATCTATTGTGTCAATTGCTGGGAAACACGCTCAGTTGAACTGACCCTCTATAGCCGTATGTGCGTGTGGAATCCATTGTTAGGGAAACCATGGTGAGAAGGGAAGTGAGATGCTCTGGATGGGTGCTGAGCTGAGTGCTGATGGAACAGACCTTCCAGAAAAGGTTGCATATTATCCAAGGAAATATCATTGCCTGGAGAGTCCTAGGCTGACTTGCTCTCTTGGGAGCTGATGTTTAGGGAATGGGAGAAGCAGCTGGTTTAAAGCATCAAACAATGTGAAATGAACTTCAGAATCTGCCAAATCCTAAACATTTCTTGCTAAGCACCATTTTTTCTGTATTGTGAACCCATCTGTGCTTCAAAAGCAATTTTGTTTAAATGGCTTCTTCCCCTTACTCCTAATCCTTGGGAAGCTGTAATACACAGGTGGTAAAGGGGACTCCCCAAGAGATGCTCACTAGGACTGCTGTGAGCCAGATACTGGGCTGACACTGCATAGCACCGAGGGTGTGGGAGACCAGAAGTCAGGAGCCTGCATTCTCAGGGGAGGGACTGGATCCCTGCAAGGAAACAAAGTGTGGTGTGTGTGGCTTCATGATCCACTGGCCTAGGTCTAATAGCGGATCTTTTTGCAAATTTATTTTTTTCTTTTCTTTTCTTTTCTTTCTTTTCTTTTCTTTTTTCTTTTCTTTTCTTTTCTTTTCTTTTCTTTTCTTTTCTTTCTTCCTTCCTTCCTTCCTTCTTTCCTTCCTTCCCTTCTTTTTTCTTTCTTTCTTTCCTTGCTTTTTTTTTTTTTTTGATGGAGTTTTGGTCTTGTCACCCAGGCTGGAGTGCAGTGGTGTGATCTTGGCTCACTGCAACCTCTGCCTCCCGGGTTCAAGCGATTCTCCTGTCTCAGTCTCCTGAGTAGTGGGGACTACAGGCAGGCAACACCAAGCCTGGCTAATTTTGTATATTTGGTAGAGACAGGGTTTCACCATGTTGGCCAGGCTGGTCTCAAACTCCTGACTTCAGGTGATCCTGACCTTGGCTTCCCAAAGTGCTAGGATTCCAGGCGTGAGCCACCGCACCTGGCTTGCAAATTTCTATTTCTAATTGAGCCAGCATTTCTTCCCAAAGGTTCACTGGAAAATCACTGACATGAAGAAGATTGATTAATAGGAAAAAAGGCATACACATTTATTTAATGTGTATACACAGGAGCCTTCAGAATGAAGACCCAAAGATAGAGGGGAAATTGTCCACTTTTACACTTAGGTTCAAGACAGTATGGATAGTCACATAGAAATATGACTGGACAAAAAGGGTCTGATGGAATGCTAGACTAGACTGAGTAGAAAGCGCAGCAAGGCCTGTCTGCCTAGATTCTTCCAGGCATCCATGCCGCATTCCTTCCTTCTGGGTATGGGACAGGATCCTTTCTGGAGTGGGGGTCTTATGACCTACAGTCAAATAAGATAGGTTAGATGAGGTCTTTATGGCCAGTTTTTACACAGAAAGGTGGAAGGAAAGCTAGAGTTGTATTTTAGGTTTTATGGCTGGCTTTGGGGAAAAGGGGTTCTGGTTTTTATATCCGCCTTGGGGAAGAGGGATTCTGGTTTCTATGGCTGGCCTCGGGGAGAATGAGGGGCAAGAGATAGGAGGGCAGGAGAAGATCAGAGAAAAACTTTTGCTTCTGAGGCTAAGCCTTCCTTTTGGGGTATTGTTTTCTGAGTCCCAACACTTGTTATTTGGAACAACTCATTAGAATGTAGGGACTGGGGCTATGTCATGTATTAACATCTCCCAGGGAGCTGTCAGCCTCCCTCAGCAAATGCTTCCTGAATGCATGAATGAACCAATGAGTGTTGGCCATGCAAAGTCAGTAGTTTTCTGCCAACCCCATGAGTTCCACCAGTCGTCTCCAGAGATTCCTTGCAAAGAACTTGGTACTGGGGCATGTACTTATAATGTCTCCTTCTTTTTCCTTCTATTCTATCATCCTGTGTCTTGTCCAGCCTCCAGGAGTTCAGTGAGAAAGGAAACACACACACACACACTACAAAAACCAGGAGAAAAAAACCATTAAAAAATCCCACTGTAGGAAGATTCTGCTGCCTCTAGACTTTAGGAAAGCCGCTGACCTAATTCATTTGCTATGGTGGCTTTTTCATCCTCAGGACTGGTGCTGCCTGTGTAGTTCAGCCTGTGAAGGCTCCCTTTCAAGTAGGCCAGCTGCATGGTATTCTGGACTTACAATGTGCAGGGCAGATGTAGTGTCCCCTTGAAATACACTTAACGGTGGGCAACAAAATCCAAAAGCAAACCCCCACAAATATCTAACTTAAAAAAAAAGAACTTTCTAGATCTCAGTCCTCATCTGGATACTTCATTAGGATCCTGAGACATCTGGGGACCAGCGATGGAAAGAAGGAAAGAGACTTCCATATGTTGAGAGCCTATTATATGCCTGCATTGTGCTAAGCCCTTTCCCATATGTTATCCAATGTAATCCCCCACAAAAGCCCTGCCAGAGTGGAATTATTCTTCTCATTTTACAAATAAGAAAACAGTAGCTCGGAGATGCTAAGTTACTCGCCCAAGGTCACATAGACGGTAAGTGGTAGATGCTGATTTGAATCCAGACAGTGTCATTATCAAGGGGTGGTTTGGGAGGCTTTCGTTGTAACCATCATCTGTAGCAGCCCCCTTCTCCACAATTATCCCAAATAAACACACAATCTAAGTCGGAAGAGCCTACAGGAGGCAAAAATGTAGCTTCAATATGTGCTTCCCTGTCATCTCCCTTTCATTGAGATTATTGCTGCCCCAAATCCTGTCTACACAGACATTCTGGAGTCCGTACTAAATCAAGATTTGTCTGGCTGCAAAGACCATGTTCTGTCCAACACAACCAGGATGCCTCTTCTCTTAGATTCCTACCAAGAAGACCTTGCTTCTTGAAACCCTTACCTAGAAGAGCCAATGAATCAGTGTAGGATTTCCCTAATGGTGGCTGGCACCATAGGTTCCAAAATGTCACCACCAGCTCTAAGTCATCAGCCCTTTAAACGCCTCCACACATCCCGGGGTATACTGACGCGAGGAGTCACAGTGGGTAAGCATCACTAGGTTGCAGAAGCACTGGGCTAATGGTGTGGATGAGGGTTTCAATTTACTTGGAAACATCCACGGGCCAAGGTTCAGTTCATTTTAGGTTTCGACTAAGTTTTTCCAGGCTCTAAATGTAGAGAGCAGGGGTGTTTAAAGTGACTGTCCTGACACAGGCTGTTCCCTAGGGGCCACTCTAGCTTCCTTCTTGGAAGTGTGATGTGGGTCCAGAGTTCAGGCCAGCCACGGTCTTGGATTCCAGATGGGAGTTCATTTTTAGAGACCAAATGGTCATAAGTGAACATGTCATCTTGGGCTAGCTGGAAAATACAAACACCAGCCCAGAGTCCAGGAATTCAGGATTGTAAATAGGTGAAAGCACCCTTCACCTTCTCTCCTCCTTCCCTCAAGGTGGTTCACATACAACTATTAGCAATTGACATTCATAGCTCTTGTACTTCACAGTATTTTCATGCCTGGGACTCTGTTTTGATCCCTGCAAGTACAGTGTTATGATACTCCTTTTATGGATGATGAATTGGAGACACCAAGAGGTTCAGAGCTTCTTCCAAAGTCATAGAGCCAGTGAGTTGTGAAGACGAGGGGCTCAGTCTTCCGATTCATGCAAAGGGTTGATGTGACATTTTCAGAGCCTAGTTCTAGCTTCATTGTGCTGGAAAGTGGTCTTGGCCTGAGGACAGCAGGGTGCTTCAGAGTCCAGTCTGATGCCCTTTGGCAGCCACACACCCTCCTGTGAAGGCACCACAAATTCCTTGGGAGGGAGACGCGTTCCAGATGTGTATGCCGCCTCTAGAGAAAACGTGGCTTCTTCTGGTGAGCCACATGCAAGGTGTCTCGCTGGCCACTGTGAAGTGGGGAGAGACGCCTGGAGCAAGCCATGATCTCTGCCAGCACTGGAATCACCAACATCCTTGAGCTTCCTTCAGTCTGATGCAGAACCTGAGGACGTGGCCATCTCTTGGTGGTGTTCTGGGAAAGCAGGAAGTCTTCAGACCTGATTGTCTTCAGATTTCAGCCATGGGCTCCCTGGTGAGCCATCTCAGGGGTATAGGAAACATGGATGCCGCCCCGGAGGCAGCTCTCAGGTATGCATCCCCTGGTGGCCCGGGCCTCTCCGGGGCTGGTGGCTCAGGCTGGAGGGACAGGCACTGAATGAGGCTGTGTACTAGATTTCTCCCCTTTCCACATGCTGGTCTTACTGAGGCAGGTTCAGGGGGTGCTCTGAGGGACAGAATGCTGTAGGGGACAAAGAAAAAAATCCCCCTTCTTCCTCTGAAGGTTTGCTGAAAAATCAACTCACAAAAGGAGATTAATTGGAATAAAGGCATACAGATCAATATGCGCATGGGGGAGAACCGTGGAGTGATTACCCCACCATCTGCATTGAGGTATAGAAGCTTACATCCCATCCTACAGTTACAGAGAGAATGGGGGCTCAGAGCATGGCCCAAACCAGACTATGGTGGAACAGCAGGTTATGGAGGCAAGATAGGTTATTTGGGGGGAAGAAAGGGAGTCGTGGCTAACAAAGGTGATCTTGTTATGCAGAGGAAATCCCACAGATAGCAGCCCTCAAAGAGAACAGATGATAATTCTTTTTTTTTTTTTTTTTTTTTTTTTTTTTTTTTTTTTTTTTTTTTTAAGATGGAGACTTGCTCTGTCGCCCAGTCTGGAGTGCAGTGGTGCCATCTCAGCTCACTGCAACCTCCGCCTCCCGGGTTCCAGTGATTCTCCTGCCTCAGCCTACTGAGTAGCTGAGATTACAGGCATGTGTCACCATGCCTGGCTAATTTTTATATCTTTAGTAGAGATGGGTTTCACCATGTTGGCCAGGCTGGTCTCAATCTCCTGACCTCAGATGATCTGCTCATCTCGGCCTCCCAAAGTGCTGGGATTACGGGGATAATCCTTTTTTAGACCTTTAAACATGTCAGACTCTTGGTTAATCTTTCCTAGATCTGGACAAGGGAAGGTCTTGGAGAAGGCCTGATTGCATCTCTGCAGATGCAAATCTCCCCCACGAAAGACAGCTCTTCAGGGAATCTTCTGTTTGCTGGCTCTCTGAACAACCTTCTCAAAAGATGTCAATGACCTATGTTTTCTATTGAAATATTTTTATTTCTTCCAGCGCAATCTGGGATCTCAGGGGCTGACAGCAGAGAAGTTACCTGAAGGCGCAACAAGCAGTGGTCCCTGTAGGCAGAAGCTACCTGGTGCCCCAGTGATGTGGGAGGCCCTCAGTTCCTGCGCTTCTTGCTGCCTGGGCACATGTTCCCGGAGGATGGCAGGACCTCCTGGCCTCTCCCCTGTCTACCCGCCAGAGCTCTGCTTCTTAAGATAAGACCACCTCTTTCCTCCAGCCAATGTGCTGCTCTTCTGACTTCAAAACACTTGCACTTCCAGGGCTCAACGTACAGTGAGTTCTCAAGGATTCGGTGAATAAATGTACAAATGTCTCCCGTTACAGCTGCCACATTCAGTGGGGTAGGTCTTATGATCATTTCTCTGAGGAAGGGTGCTGTGCTCATGGTCTCAGTCTGCAAATTGCAGACTGAGAATCCAACGAAGGCACCTGCTCTCTGCCCCCGCACCCCCCCACCGGCCCCAAGGCTGACCCTCTCCTCCCCTGGTATCAGCTCGAAGCATTGTTGGAGTCCCCAGGGACCCGGATGCTTCCCTGTGTGCCCTGTCTTTGAGGTGCCCGCCATCTCAAGTCAAGACACACAGCAGGGTGTGAGAGGCCAGGGAGCCCATGGGAATTCCAGGGGATGCTCTCAGCGTGTTTTGTGAGGAACGACTGGCTCACCTAGTCAGGCCTGGGACAAAATATCACCTGCTGAAGGATGATTGGCTGTGGCGCTGGCCTTGTGCTGGAAGAGGGCCTCTGAGAGCACAGGGAACTGCCCCTGGGCATTTTCTCACAATTGTTCCGAGGGTTAGAGGCTGGATCCCAGGAACCGCGTGTGGCCACTCTGTCCTTCTTCAGAGAGAGATTCAACTTCCGGAGCCAGGGTCACCCCTAATGGCTCACTTCCCTTCCTTCCCCTGCCAGGATTTTCCCCCAGATTATCTTGGGGTTGTCTCAGCCCTTACCATACCTCATCCTTCCCAGCAGCAGCCCGCCAGCCCCACGCGGAGTGTTCTACTCTTTCCAAAGACAGCCCACATTTCGGGGTCTCCTGCACCCCCAAATGTGGGATTGGTAAGATGCACGCTTCCTGACTTGGGTTTCTTCTTTCATTTGCAGTTAAAAACCATGACCACAAAAGAGACATCCACAACTCGCTGTAATAGGCGCTTGCATAATAGACGTGGGGACAGTGTTTGGGGGAACAGGATAGGGTGGCTCTGTTTTTCCAACAGTTGTGAGATTCATTTTGGTGAAGTAAGAAGGTTTTACAGGGTCCTCTAAGACAGAAGGGGTTTCCTGGGAAGGAAGCTGGCTTATCAACCTGCCTCCTCTCGCTCACCTGGTGCTAGCTGCTTACTTTCCACCCTTTGCCCTCTGCTGAAGGGAGAGTTTGAACATCTTTAGATTCTTTTCTTTGCTTGGCAAGATGTGCTGTATTTATTCAACTTAGCCTCAAGGTTAAGCACACAGACCCTTGTCAGAAGCCAGACAGCGAGTGTTCAAATCCCAGCTGTGTCACTTACCAGCTCTGTCACACCTTGGGGATGTGACTTCACTTGCCTTGATTTCCTCATCAGTGAAATGGGGATAATAATAGTACTTGCCCCATAAACAGGGATAATAGTACTTACCTTATATAATAAGGATTACATGTAAACATTTAATATACATAAAGCTCTTGTTTGTTTGTTTTTAGAGACAGGGTCTCAGTCTGTCATCCAGGCTGGAGTGCAGTGGCAAGATGCTAGCTCACTGCAGCCTTGACCTCCTGGGCTCAAGGAATCTTCCTATTTCAGCTTCCTGAGTAGCTAGGAGTACAGGTGCATGCCACCATACCTGGCTATTTTTAAAACATGCTTTTATATAGATGGGGTCTTGCTCTGTTTCCCAGGCTAGTTTTGAACTTCTGGCCTCAAGCACTCCTCCCACCTCAGCCTCCAAAGTATGGGGATTATAGGCATGAGCCACTGTGCCCAGCCAAACAGCTCTTAAAATATACAAAAGCTCTTAAAATAGTGCCTAGCACAGTGTTTACTATTGTCACTATCTACTTGGATTCTCTGCCTGTTGGTCTCCACTTTGCACAATTATTTGTGGACATTTGAGATCGTCGAGTTCTCGAGAACCAGTCAGGCTGATTTACCTCCAATGTACGTGTAATATGTTTTTTTCCTTTTCTGGAACTGAGCAACATCCTCCAAGTTTGTCCACTCTCCGAGTGTCTTAACTGCCCCCGGTAGAGAGGCATTTAGCAAACAGAAACAGATTACAGAGACCCTCGTGGCCACATGCAATTTGCAGTTGCTCTCAAGAGTGGGTGTGGTCACTTGTTGTTCCCTTTAGCCATCATATCAGCTGCCTGGGTGAGGGGTCAGTGTGCCAAACGTTCCTGGTGGGAAATGACTTGGTTTCCCATATGAGCCCCGACCTTCACTGGCCTCTCCCTCTTAGAACTCCCATTAACCACCATGTGTGCTGGTCACTGCAGCTGAATCCATCCACAGGGGCTGCCCAGAAAAAGACAATGACTTCTGCAGGGCTGGGGAGGCTGTCCTCGTGAAAATAACTGAATCTACCCGAGTGTGTGGCCTGTGCTGGGGAAACGTGGGTGACTTGAATGATGTCAGGCAATCAGTGCAATTGAAATATGTCAAAAATGGCTCCATCAACGCACCCGGCTCATATTTAGCTATAAAATGTGAGGCCAGGTTACGAACCGGAAGCATTTCTTTCAACCAAAGTCATTTGGAAAGGAATATCTTTGACACATCCTTGCTGCCCCTTCCCCCATTGCGGTGTCCCTGGCTGTGTGGCTGGCAGCCTGGCTCTTGGTGAGTCGCAGCTGCACCTGTGCCCACCTTCTCACCACGGGAGTAGGTGCTTCTCCTTTGGGCACCTTCTGGCTTTGCACCGTAAAAGTGAAATACGGTGTGGTCCTGCAAGCTGCTTCTCCAGTGATGTGAAAAGCGTAAGAGAGAGGCTCTGGGAAGGGGCAGATGCTGCAGGTGCAATGATGCCAGCTGTTGAGGACGGTGCCCTGTGCCTGGGGAAGTACATGCTGTAACTGGAGCTCCACCTTGGTACCCCACCGCTGGACCCTCCAAAGAGAGCTCTGACATGTATGAAGTTTCATATACTCAATTCCTTTACCGCTGGACTTGTGAGAATTGTATGAGGAAGGCCACTTTGAGGATCATATTCATGCTGGCAATAATGACATGAAAAGCAACAGTAATAGTAGCAACTATCGTCAAGGTCCCATAGGTACCAGTTTTCATGCTTAACAGCACAACCATCTCATCCCTGGAACCAAGCATCCCTGGAACCAAGCAAGATCAGTGCTGTTGATCTTCATTTTGCAATTGAGGTAACGGAGGCTCAGTTAACTTAAGTAACTTGTCAGGGGTACAAAGTAAGTATAAGTGGCTGAGCTGTGATTCAGATCCAGGCCCATCTGATGCGATAGCTCATTCTTTTCTCCATGACATCAGGAGGCCTCCTCCTCCCTTGTGTTGCTCAGAGTTCTGATAAGAATCAGATTTCTAGGTGAATCACAAGAAGGTGACTATTCTGGTTAGATAACGGGAGAATGGGCCCCATCATGGCAACAGACTCCTAAGACTCATACATCACAAGAAAGGGCTCCCTACAGCTTTGACACTAGGGTGCTTCTCTGTGCACCTCCTTGCTCCCCTCCCATGAGAAGGACTGTCTTTCATCCTCATAGCTATTATTTTTGAAACATCAGTTTTAATTTGGGGCACCCGCTCTCTTCGGGAGATTGCAAAAATTAAATCGTTTTTAAGCAACCCAACAACACTTCTGGGGTTTGTAATAAACTTGTGAAATTTGCGGAACTTGGTGGTTGAGGTTCTCTCCGTCCTACTTCCCTGGGGCCCCGAGGAGCTTTCGAGTTGGTTCTTCATGCCCTCTTGTTTGGAGCTGCTTTTGTCAACTGGGCCCAGCTACTGCGTCTTGGACCAAGGAGGCGATGAGCCCTGAAACAGTCCAGGGTCTCTAGGAGAGCAACTCCCAAACCATGTTTCTGGCCCTGCCTTCCCTCTGTTATTCTGGGGAAAAAACTGACCCTACGTGGGTGGGAGGTCCCATCTACAGAGACCAGCCTTGTTTGTTTCCATAGGATTTGACTACTGAGGGGCACGAAAATACATAGCCAACTTCCCCTTGCAGAGTTCACTGTCTCCCCTTCCAGCAGATGACTCCAGGATCCTTGGAAGCATAGGAACACACCCCAGTTGATGACACTGTTTCCTCTCCTCTGCAGAAGAAGATCCTCTCCACTCACAGGAAACAGCAGCAAGATGGTTTCCAGGCACCAGCTGTCACTGGGCTTGTACTGTTACAGTCCAAGCTGAGCACGCAAGGCAGGGTGTGTTTCTGGCTCCCCATAGCTGAAAGCTCAACTTCATGTGGTCAGGTCTTGGATGGCGTCAAGGCCTGTAGGGTGAACAGAACTCTCTGAGTCACCTTTCCCTGCTGTTCAGGGCCTTGATATAACAGACAGGGCCATTGGCTCCACAGGGGCATGGTGGGGAAGAAGGGTCCAGGAAGGCACTTTGCCTTTGTGTCTTGTCCTTGGTATTTGGAGGGCAACACCCCTGTATTTTTCTAATCCTATTAGCTAAGAATCTGGAACCTGGGCCAGAGGCCTGGGTTCTAACACTATCTCCACCGTTTCCCAACCATGGATACACCCTATACTTTCCCTCGTCTGTACAGTGGAGCTAATAATAGTACCTAACTCATGGAACTATCATGAGTCTTAAATGAGTGTTAACACGCATGAAGTGAAGTGCTTATATCTGGCAGATAGTAAATGTGTATTATCAATTTAATTTACACTATTATTTGACTGTATTTCTACTATACAGAGCAACTATTGCCTGGTCATATGTCCTAACAAATAAACTGTGGAGACAGACAAGTAACTGTCTCAGTGCTAAGGACACCACTGACCCTCAACAGAATAATGCCCCCTAAAGATGTGTAGACCCTAATCCCCGGAATCTGGGAATGTGTTAGGTTACACGGCAAAGGCAAAGGAAGGTTGCAGGAGGAGCTGAGGCTGCAAATCAGCTGACCTTACAGTGGGAAGAGAAGCCTGAGTTCTCCAGGTGAGACCAATGTCCAGCATCCTGGCTGAGCCTGCTCCCTTTACAAACAAGGTTAGGATTTATAACTGCTTTCATGGTAACATCTGGCTCATTTCTCTCAAGTTCCCCCAACTCTTTTTTTTTTTTTAGTATACAAATCTTTATTCTAAAGTCATTTCATTTCGGCTCAATTCCTTCTCTCTCTCTTTCTACCTGTTTGTTTGGCCTTTGGAGATTGAGAATGAGAAGTAACAGGACTCATTACCCACAGCTAGTCACAAGAGGAGACAGAGGGAGAGTGAATGCAAAAGAAAGGTACCAGAGAGGCCACCTTGCTGGCTGTCAAGGTGGAGTAAAGAGGCCACAAGCCAAGGGGTGTAGGCGGCCTGGTCTCTTCTGCAGCTGCTTTTTAAAACTCTAGGACTTTCTTCCACCAACAAATTCTTTAGGTTTTATCAGAGTTAGGAGGCAGTTAGCATCTGCAACAATAGAAAGAATATGTATTATTTGGAATGCTTGTGTGGCTTATACAGCTCCCAACCAGTTCGGGAGTCTTAACACATTGTGCTAAAAGATGCTGAAGGCTGGGTTTCCACTTCCCAAACAATTTCATTCTCTAAGAAAACTGCCGATAAAGATAAAAAACATTACAGCCAAATGGAGTCTTGCCTGAATCCCAGGCCCTGCCACATCGACCGCTGGTTCTATCAGTGGCCAGTGTTCTGGAAACGCTTCCCCGACATCAAGGAAGCCGGATCCTCCCCACACAGTGATGGGTTCTAGGCCATTTTTGCTGCCTCGGTCTGGGAGCTCACCATCCTCAGAAGCTCCCAGCACCTGGAGATGTCTCGCATCCTGGCTGAGCCTGCTCCCTTTAGCAAACAAGGTCAGGATTTGTAACTGCTTTTGTGGCAACATCTGGCTTATTTCCCTCAAGTCCCCCTGCCACTTTTTTTTTTTTTTTTTGAGACAAGAGTCTTGCTCTGTCGCCCAGGCTGAAGTGCGGTGGCGCGATCTCCGCTCACTGCAAGCTCCGCCTCCCGGGCTCACGCCATTCTCCTGCCTCAGCCTCCCGAGTAGCTGGGACTACAGGCGCCCGCCACCACGCCCGGCTAATTTTTTTGTATTTTTAGTAGAGACGGGGTTTCACCGTGTTTGCCAGGATGGTCTTGATCTCCTGACCTCGTGATCCGCCCGCCTCGGCCTCCCAAAGTGCTGGGATTACAGGCGTGAGCCACAGCGCCCGGCTTCCCCCGCCCCCGCCACTCTTTATATATATATATATATCTTTCATCTATAGTCATTTCATTTCAGTTCAATTCATTCTCTCACTCTCTCTCTTTTTTTTTCTACTTGTTTGTTTGGCCTTTGGAGATGGGGAACAAGGAGTAAGAGGACTCATTACCCACAGCTAGTGACTTGGGTTAGAAGTGAAAGCACTTCTGCTGGGCCCTGACTTATTTATTTATTTTTGGCCACAGAGCCACAAGGCTCGGTCCCCAGTGAGCCGCCCGAGGACATCTTGTGGCACCATCTGTTCGCCCCCACCCACCCTCACCAACTGCCAGGCTCCGATTGTTGTTGGTGGTGGTGGTGTGTTTTTTTTTTTGTTTTTTTTTTTTAAGTTTTTGTTGATTTTATAAATTCTGTAGCTCTGTGTTTTTTAGACTCGGCTTGCTCGTGTCAACGCAAAACCAGGACAAGCAGAATAAACAAAGAGATGCTGGCAGAAGGCTGGGTGTGTCGCCTCAGGTCTACAGATGTGCTGGGGCCACACTGAGGAAGGCCCTCGTGTGCATGCAGGGCGCTGGCCGGAGCGCCTTAGGACGCATCTGAAAACTTCTCATTGCCTCAGGGTTTAAAATAGCCACACTTCCTGCTCCTCGGAGAGGGTATGCACAGAATGTGGGTGACTCACCGTCGGTGGTTTTCGATGTGTCTGTCATAAGGAGGTATCATCAAAAGCCCGGCCTGTTTCAGATGTTATTTTTTTCCACCCTCAGCCATGCGGTGCTGGGAGAGCAGAATGCCTAAACCCAGTGTTTGTTTTGAGCGCAGAAAGTGAAGACCAAATCAATTGTGCCGCAGCAAGTAAAAACTGAATGCGTGAGGGGGAAAAAACCTGCAAACAGTGTGAAGACTGAGTTTCAAGGTTCTTGTTTTCAAAAAGTTTAATTATATTTCAACTAAAGCCAAACTGTCAAAACATGGGAGAGTGATCTGCCTGCTTTGAAAATGCATTAGCCTTCTTATGTAAAAGCCAATAATTGATATCCAAGAGGAAACCAGAGCTGTGGGGGTCGGAGGAAGAAGGAAGACAGCCTCTTAGAACTGCTCAAACGACACTTCCCTATCAACTACGTGCAAAGCTTTAGATCCAGGTTTGTGAAGTGGGAAATTGGAGAGGGGAACAAAGGCAAAGCTAAAACCCTCTGTGAATGGCGAAGGTTTACAATATCAGGCCTGGTTTACGAGACATGTGGGGCCAGGGCACTGTGAATTAGAATTTACATAAGCGAGAACCTGGAAGAGATCCTCAAAATTCTCAACAACAGCTTTGTAAATAACAGCAGGCTGTGCCTTCTTCCCCCTGAGAAATGCTGGGGTGTGTCTGGGCTGCCCCCAGGGCCGGGCTAATGCCTGGGCCCTCTCTTTGCTTCCAGCCCAGCTGGTTTTCAGGTTATCTGGTTGTTGTTTTTTTTTTTTTCCAGACTCCACTCAGCCACTTCCTCCAAAAATGGACCGTCGGTGGTTAAGTCTTTGCCCTCTTCATCTCAGTTCCCATTCCTGCCTCTCCTTCAGTAATCTCCTAGAACTTTCTAGTTTCTAGCACAGAGATTCTTAATCGTGTTCTTTTGATGGCTGAGAAGTATGTGTATTCTTAAACCACTCTCAGATTAAATTAAGCTTGCACTACATAAAAAATATTGATGGAAGCCATATAACACATATTTGGGATAGAGCTAGAGCAGGCATCGAACAGATCATACCAGTTGGAATACGGTATCAAAGAGCTGGGAATTCCCGGCCTACAGCCTGGGTCCGGGAAGGCAGCCGCCATTTTCTTCCTTCTTGGGTCAAGCCACTAGCTTCTGGGAGGACCAGCCTCCTCCAGCGTCTCTGTCATTTCCCCTTGATTGCTGATCTTTGAAAACAAGCCCAGGTACCTATCATATGAATGCTGCTAGGCTTTAGAACCCTTTCTTCATCTACCCTGGTGACATGAGACAGCTATCTTTCTCCCAGTGTGGCTGATCCCCACAAATATACATTTCTTGTAGCCCAGTGTCGGGTAGAATGGACTTTCTGGTCTATGGTCTAGGACTCTCTGTTGACCTTGGAAAAGAGTTGCCAGATAAAATACCGGATGCCTAGTGAAATGAGAATTTCGGATAAACAACACATCCCTTTTTTAGTGCAAATATACCTTCAATGTTATAATAAAAAGCATGTCCCATGCAATATTTAGAGCATACTTACACTAAACAATTATATGTTGTTTATCTGAAGTTCACATCTCACTGTGCATGCTGCATTTTTCTTTGCTAAATCTGACAGCCCTTCTGGAGCCTCTTGCGTTCCGAATGAATGTGGGTTCCACGAGCCATGAACGAGAGTGAGTTCTAAAGGGAACGGGAGCCAGATTGAGGCTGTGTTCTCCTTGTAAGGTTCTCGTTGGTGCAACCCATCGTGCCAGTCGTTCTCATTCCTGCTCCATGTCTGGGGTGCTCCGTTCACACCTCTGTCAGCGTGCTGGTGATCACTGCCACAGCTCTAGACCTAAGAGAGCCATGACAATAGTTCTCAGCTTTTTGGGCTGACGCTATATTTGCTCATCTGGGGGCCTGGCACACAGCAGGTGCTCAATATATACATAAGCAGAGCTGGTGGCATAGGAAGCAGAAAGCTGGCACCAGGCTTCCTCAGGCCATGTCCAGACAGCAGAGCCAGCCTTTTGACGACCTCCAAACGTCTGGGAAGCCAGCGGAAGCCACCGCACAGCTCACACACATAATGATAGCTTTCTCCTTTCTTATCCCAGACGGTTTGGATGCTTAAAAAAATTGCTTGGGGGAATCAGCAGAGGGTGAGGGAAGCTCGGAAACCAGCCGCGAAGGAAAACAGGAAAGAAGCGGCTCTAATTAAAAGCAGCCAGCTCCCAGCTCCCTCTGCAGGGCTAGGGGTCCTGCTGAGAAGGGGAGGCTGTCCTCCTCGCCTGCTGGCGCAGGGGGCAGGCGGCCTGCACAGACCCTGCAGACGAGCCCGGGGGCTCTACAAAGAGGAGGGTCAGGGTTTGGTCAAGCTCTCTCCACAAGACGCCCTTGCCCTCACACCTCTCCTAAGTTCCTTCCTTCCCCACCCAGGCTCGGTGCTCGGGTCCACAGCGTGCATCATCTGAGGGGATCTGCAGAGCCACCTTCCGTTTCTTTCATCACAGAGAGAAGAGCCTCCTTTCAAGTTCTCTAACACTTGCTCTCAGCACACAGCATTTATTGTTGAGCGCTGTCGTTGGCCACTGCATTTCCAAGATATTTATGCAACAATATATACATTAGGACACAGCCGCTCTGTGAGATAAGTCAGTAGTGCCCCGTTAATTTTATAAATCCAAGAGAAGGCCCAGAGACGGTGAACAATTGGGCCATGGTCACACAGCAAGCTGCGCATTTGTATAATACATGCGTGGTAGGCGCAATTGAGGCACTGGAGAGACAAAGATGAAAAAGACACTGTTCCCGGTAAAATGGTAAGGAATGCAGACACATCTTGAACCAACAGGAATACAGTGGGAAAAGAAAAGAGATGCTGTATGAGATAATTAATCGCATGCAGAGGAAGAAGGGAGTAGTTTTGCTAGAGAGCGGGGGTGTCAGGGAGCATGGCTAGGACATAGTGGCGAGGTTCCAGGTCAAGCAGCCTGTCAGTGCTGAGGTTAGGCCTCCGAGTAATGGCAAAGAGACATCAGACAGATGGTGCTGGTCAGAAGGGCCAGCTGGCCTGGGGGGCATGTGGTAGGGAGAGAGGAGCAAAGGTTACTGCCCAGAACACCTGAGTCCAGTGTTGCCTCTGGCATTCACAACATTTGGACAAGTGATCTTAAACTCTCTGGGCCCACACCTGAGTTTCTCAGCTGAAACTGACTGGGACTGGATTTGATCCTGTAAGAACACTGTTAGCGCTAACATTCCAGGATTCATCATGAAGCCGTGAGCCCTCGACCATGGTCCATTGCATGGATTCAAACTTAGGCTACTTCAGGCCCAGCATCGTCCGTGGAGACGAGCATTCAATGACTTACTGATATTTACTTTGCACCTATTATGTACTTGGCACTGTGCTGAGCCTAGGGCCCCAGTAGTGCGGAAACAGACACTGGGTGCACTGGCAGGGACTGGAGAAAACCAGCTGCAGACAATATTCATCCCTGCACCAAGTCCTTCATGGTCTCTGCACACTTGCTCACCATCACTTCTGCTCCACGAGTGAGCACAAAGCGATTTCTGGGTAATTTCAGACACACAGCTTCAGCAGGTTCGCACTTTGATCTTAGCAAAGTTGCATTCTGCTGCTCTGGCACGCTCGGCTCCTCCTCAGGGCGTGGGAGTCAACGTTTAAGTAGATCAGAGTAAGCGGTACCCTGCTGAAGAGGTTTTTCCAAAGCCTGTGGTCAGTCACTGAGGGGCAACATAAGGAGGGGCAGGTTCCCCCCCCAACAGACTCACCCACCAGCCAGCCAGCTCACTGCCTATGGGTGGGCGAGGTCTCTCTCCCTTGAAAATGTCTGTAGCACCCAGAAGAGGCCCTGTTCAAGGTGAGTGCTCAGAAAACTCTGTGGTGATCAAGAAAGAGTAGTTGAAGTAAGCATTTCTATGCTGATATTTGATGCAAATGACTCAAAGGAGTATTTAGACCTTTGGGGAAAAGGTATTCTTTAGACCCTGGGACATGGGGCAGAACCAGAGGGAGGCAGAAGAGCCCAGTGGCAATGGCGTGCGGCTGGGACTTTCCCTGCTTTGTTTGGTGCATTAGAAGATAAGATCACAACTCAGTTCCTCATGATCAGAAGAGCTGGCCGGGGGATCAGGCATCCCAGTTAACCGGGGCAGAGTCCCATTCCCCACTGTTGTCCTTGCCTAATTATGAATTGTTCCCCTTTCATTCTTAGAAGTGTCCTTGTTTGAACAGTGTATTATGTGGTCACACTTGAAGAGATAAACCAGATGACTACTTTGAAATCTCAAATAACTAGGATAGAGGAGCCAAGCGTCAGAAAGAATGATGCCCACCCAGGTCCTGTGATGTGACCTAGAGCTGGCCACTTCAATGCAGCAGTCTCTTTCCCAGAAGCTCAAAGTGCTTCTCAGTTAGGACTATTTTCATCAGTTCTTACCCCTTCCCAATGTCAGGTTGGCACTAAAGTTCCGGCCCTTAGAACAAAGATTTTTGAAACCCCAAGTTGCCACGCACATTTTGGAAGTCCTTTTTTTCCTGCAAAGTATCTGTCCCTGCCTTTCCAGCAAGCCTTCATCCATTCTTTTCCATATCTCATGATCTGAGTGCTGTAGAGTATATTTTATGAGGAGAGAGCTGCACAGAGCTATCTCAGAATTACTGCCTCTGAAGGGAGGTCAGGGGGCCCTTGGGATATGGTAGAGAGGACCTGGACCCTGGAGCCATGGAAGCCTTGACTCCAATTCTGCCACATTGGCCTCATGACTGAAGGCCAGGATTTCTCATGAGTAAAATGCACATATGGTTGATGAGAGAGCTAAACCAGGAAATGAAGTAGGGTGACCAACTATGCCATTTGTTCAAGACTATCCTAGTTTTAGCTCTGAATGTCCCAGGAAATCCCTCTGACCAGGCACACTGGGATGGCTGGTGACCTTGAATGCTGCCTGATATTTACTAACTACTGAGTACATTTTAGTTCTCTCCCCTCTTCCTGTAAAAAAGAATTGCACTATTAATGGTGAAATTTAAGAGAGAGTGATAGATTAGTTAGTGGTAGAGCTATTTGTGGGTGCAAGGTTTTCCTAAAGCACTTAAAGTAGGGTGCACTCCCTACTCTACTGGCCTGGTAGGCTCTGACTCCACTGGTGAAGAGAACTGGCCACAGACTCTGGGAATCCCAAAGCACTGAATCCACCTATGTGTCTCCGGTGTGGATCTTAGCATTTCACCCTTTCCTTGTGTCCATAGAACTGAACTGGCCCTGGAGACTGAGATGTGCTCATGCATCTCACGACGGGAAGCGCGTTCTTCCTGGAGAGCAGGGAGTTCCATGCTGGGCATTACTCCATGCCCTAGGGATGCAGCAGCCATCAGAACCCTCTCCCTTCCATCTCGGAGCTTATACTCTAGGGGGAAAATAAACAACCAGCCAGTAAATAATCAGGTACTGTAAGGGCAGGAGTGCTAGGTAGCTGAAGAGCTGGAAACTGAATTAGGAGACTGCCAGTGATGAGAGTTGCTGTTCTAGTCTAGATAGGATCATCCGGGAGCCATCTCTGAGGGGGTAGCATTTCGAATAAGCCATGTGATGATTTGTGGGAAGCAATTTCTAGCAGAGAGAACACCCAGGGTCAGGGACCTCAAAGCAGGACCTAATCAATGTGTGTGTGGAAAAGGCAGGAGTGGGCATGCATAGAGGATGTGAGGCCAGGTGAGGGGCCACTCATACAGCCCATGGTGTCTTAGTCCATCTGTGCTGCTGTAATAAAATACCTGAGACTGAGTAATTTATAAATAATAGAAATTAGGCCAGGGGTGGTGGCTCAGGCCTGGAATCACAACACTTTGGGAGGCCGAAATGGGTGGATCACTTGAGGTCAGGAGATCGAGACCTGCCTGGCCCATACAGTGAAACCCTGTCTCTGTTAAAAATACAAAAATGAGCCAGGCCGTGGTGGCGCATGCCTGTAATCCCAGCTACTCGGGAGGCTGAGGAAGAGAATCACCTGAGCTGAAGAGGTCGAGGCTGCAGTGAGTTGAGATTGCGTCACTGCTCTCCAGCCTGGGCAACCGGAGTGAGACCCTATCTCAAAAAAAAAAAAAAAAAAAGAAAAAAAAAGAAAAAAAAGAAAGAAGAAGAAGAAGAAGAAAAGAAATTAATTGTCATAGTTCTGAAAGCTGGAAAGTCTAATATCAAGGTGCCAGCAGGGTTGGTGTTGGGTGAGGGCTGTTCTCTGCGTCCAAGATGCTGCCTCTTGCTGCTCCTCACAGGGCGAAAGGCAGAGAGCCAAAAGGGGTTCGCTAGTTCCCGCCAGCCATGAATAAGGCACTAATCTCATCCACGAAGACAGAGTGCTCAGGGCCTAATCATTTCCTAAAGGTCCCACCTCTTAATATCGTTGCATCGAAGATTCAGTTTCAACATGAATTTTGGAGGCAACACAAACATTCACATCACAGCACATGGTAACACCTTTGGGTCTTTTTTCTCTTTCTAATTATGATGAGAAGATTGGAAGTTTTAATCAAAGGAGTGAAGGGATCTGGTTGACATTTTAAATGGCTCATGCTAACAGCTGCATGAAGACTAGCTGGTAAAAGGGCAAAGAGCAACTATTTGGGGAGGTTACTGCAATAGTGAGGGTGAGAGGTCAAGGTGGGCTGGGTCCAGTGGCAGCAGCAGGGTGGTGAGAAGTGATTTGGTTCTGGATATATTTTGCACATAGGGCTGATAGGATTTGTTGATGGGTTGGAGATGCAGAGTGAGAGGGAGTTGCTGATGCTGCCAAGGGCCCTGGCCCCAGCTGTGTGGTGATTCCGCTTATGGAGGTAGGAGAAGCTGGGGAGGAATAGGCTTAGGACCATCAAGACTTTGGGCTTGGATATTTCCACTATGAGATGCTAATTAGACACCTGAGTCAAGCTGTGAAGTAGCAGTTGTACCTATTGTATAACAGGTGTGATGGTAAAAATATTCAACAGTTCCTCAGAAACAAAGCACAAGATTACCGTATGATCTGGCAATTCCACTTCTGGGTGTATATCCACTGAGAATTGAGGGCAGGGACTCAAAACAGATATTTGTACACTCATATCCATATCAGCATTAGTCACAACAGCCCAGCATTCATCAGTGGATGAATGGATAAACAAAAGGTGGTCTATCCATATGACGGAAGAGTATTCAGCCTTGAAAGGGAAGGAAATTTTGACACATTCTACAACAGAGATGAACCTTGAAGACATTATGCCGAGTGAAATAAGCCAGTTAAAAAGGACAAATATTGCATATGAAATACGTGGAGTAGGGCTGGGCGCAGTGGCTCACCCCTGTAATCCCAGCACTTTGGGAGGCCGAGGTGGGTGGATCACGAGGTCAGGAGATCGAGACCATCCTGGCTAACACGCTGAAACCCCGTCTTACTAAAAATACAAAAAAATTAGCCAGGTGTGGTGGCAGGTGCCTGTAGTCCCAGCTACTTGGGAGGCTGAGGCAGAAGAATGGCATGAACCTGGGAGGCGGAGCTTGCAGTGAGCCGAGATTGTGCCACTACACTCCAGCCTGGGCGACAGAGCAAGACTCTGTCTCAAAAAAAAAGAAAGAAATACTTAGAGGAGGAGTCAAACTCATAGAGACAGAAAGTAGAATGGTGGTTGCCAGGGGCTGGGGAGAGAGAAATGGGGAATTGGTGCTTAATGGGCATGGAGTTTCAGTTTGGGAAGATGAAAAAATCTGGAGACGGATGGTGGCGGTGGCACGACAATGTGAATGAACTTAGTGCCACTGAACTGCACAGTTAAAAATGGCTTAAATGGTCAATTTCATGCTGTGTGTATTCTATCACAATAAAAACAATTCAACAATCACTGTGGCAGGGGTACTGACTGGCCAGAGTGGGTACTGGCCATAAAGAACATGTCTAACTATAGCAGGAAGCTCCGTAAAATGCCAGCGCAAGGTAGCAAGTGCATAGTTCAAAGCAGAGGCCTGGGCCCCCATGCAAAGCTGAAGTTAAAGCTAGGGCACTGGTAAGATCACCCAGGGAGAGAGCATAGGTGGTGGGGGGCAAGAAGGTAAAGGAGATTCTCCAGCCTCTCCATGACCAAGGTGCCAGAACACGAAGCTCTAAAATGAAGCCTTGTGCTGGAGGCAAATCTGAGATGTGCGCAGCCTCCAACTGAGCACACCCATGCTGAGATGCGTCAATTTCTGCAGCGCTGGGCTTCTCCTGGAGCCTAAACACACAGACATTCTTCCTTCCACTGTGGCCATCAGCGTCCTCTTTGATGTGTCCGTCTTCTTTGCCTTCTGCATACACTTAGTTGCCTAATTGACCTTCTCTCCACTTGGTCCCTCCATCCGGTTCCCAAGGCTACAGCCCTGTGGAGGCTCTCTTTCTTCCTGCCTGAACTAAGCCACCGCCTCCTCTTGCATCCTGGACTAAGAGGACAGGCAGAAACCACATCCACAGGTGTCAGGTGCATCCTGGACAGTGTGACTGAGAGTCACCACCCTGGTAGGACAGTGACGGGTGTGGAGCGTAGTTCCAGAGACTGTGACCCCACAGGTAAAGCTGGGCTGAGGACACATCACAGCAGCCAGGTATCAGAGAAAAGGGCTATGCCACATCCAAGTGTGAATGGGATCAGGGGAGGAAGAAGAGTTGGGCACTGCCTCAAGGCTCGCGCATGAGTCTTTGTGTGTTTCTGTTAATCACTGTGTTGTTCCTTTCCCAGAGAATCCTGATTTGCGGCAGATAGCTGCTGATGCCTCTGAGCTGGTCTCTCTGCCTCCCATCTGTCCATCCCAGATTTCTTTTTCTAAAGCAGGGCTTGGAGAGGGGTAGTCCTTGCCTTAGGCCACGGGAGGGCAAATCTTCGAAGCTTCTTGCTGTACAGTTGACATTAAGATATCTTACCCTGACATTTTGCAACCCTCTGTGGTCTGCAGTTGCCGAGTATTTCAGATCTACATCCACTGCGTGCTTCTCACCTATGACTGTTCTCCCTGCTTGCTGAACAGTCCTGAGCTCTCTGGCCTCTGCACCTTTGTGTAGGATTTTCCTTGCAGCTGGAAGACTTTGTTTCCCTTACCCCTTGGACCACTAGTTGCCAAATCCTATGCAGAGGTGGACTTAGTATGAAGCTAATGAGTTTTAAGCTTCAGGGTCCTTCCATTTCAGGTTCATCTCTTGCATGGGCCTGGAGGTACCATAGCAGTCAGTTCCCAAGACCATGTGTTTTGTACAATTAGCAAAAATAACATAAATAGATTAAGACTTTTGGCTGGGCGCAGTGGCTTGTGCCTATAATCCCAGCACTTTGGGAGGGCAAGTGGGTGGATTGCTTGAGGCCAGGAGTTCAAGACCAGTCTGGCCAACATGGTAAAACCCCATCTCTACTAAAAATACAAAAATTGGCCAGGCATGGTAGTGCACACCTGTGATTCCAGCTACTCAGGAGGCTGAGGCAGGAGAATCACTTGAACCCGGGAGGTGGAGTTTGCAGTGAGCCGAGATCACGCCACTGCACTCCAGCCTGGGTGACAGAGCAAGACTCCATCTCAAAAAAAAAAAAAAAAAAAAAGACTTTTGTCTCTTTTCACCTCAACTTTGCCTCCACACACCTCATCAGTTTCTTGTCATATTGAAGTGGCTTTGGACATTTTTGGGATCTGGCTAAGTGAAAATTAAGTCGGGGAGATATTTATTTTGAATTTGGTGGAACATTGATGCAATTTGCAGTCTCTTCAGCCTGTATGAAGCTATCGCCAGCTGTTCTGATGTAGAAGTGGCTTGCAGGGACAACCTTCAGCCCCCTGTGCTGGCTCTTGTGGCATTTCCACAGGGAGGACAGGGCCTGAGGTCATATCCCAGCATAAACATGTCCTGTGGCCCGTGTCCCCAGAGCCAGGCTGATAGGAAAGTGGAAACAGGATTTACAATGTGTGGTGCCAGAGTCTAGTCTTCGGAGAGTTTTTCAGTTATCAGATGTATAAAATGGTAAGGAGAAGATGCTGTTTCCATTGACACCTAGTCAAAATGGAAATTCTTTGCTGGCAAGAATGTGCCCGATACAATAGCAAAGACTTGGAACCAACCCAAATGTCCATCAGTGATAGACTGGGTTAAGAAAATGTGGCACATAGACACCATGGAATACTATGCAGCCATAAAAAAGGATGAGTTCATGCCCTTTGTAGGGACATGGATGAAGCTGGAAACCATCATTCTCAGCAAACTATCACAAGGACAAAAAACCAAGCACCACATGTTCTCACTCATAGGTGGGAATCGAACAATGAGAACACCTGGACACAGGGTGGGGAACATCACACACCGGGGCCTGTTGTGGGGTCGGGGGAGGGATAGCATTAGGAGATATACCTAATGTAAATGACGAGTTAATGGGTGCAGCACACCAACATAGCACATGTACACATATGTAACAAACCTGCACGTTGTGCACATGTACCCTAGAACTTAAAGTATAATAAAAAAACAATAAAATAAATAAAAATAAAAATAATTGGCCGATTCTTCTATAATTGTTGGTGCTAAAATGACCAGACCAAATAAATTAGTTCACTTCAGTAACCTTAAAAAAAAAAAAAGGAATGTGCCCGATAATGCAGACGATACAATTACGAGTGCATGGAACAGACTTCGGGAGGCGAGGAGGCGATAGGGCGGCCCGAGGCTGATTGAGACACTGGTGGCTGTGGAACGCTTAGAGGGGTTGTTGCTGTGTGGTTGTGAGTGTGCATGCCTTTGTGTTGGAACACACCATCCTAACATTTTGTGTGTGTGTGTGTTCATGCTATACTACATACATATGTAGTATGCTATACTACATACATATAGAGTATGCTATACTACATACATATAGAGTATGCTATATTACACACATATAGTTATGATTATCTAGTTGCATAACATACTAAACTGTTATGAATCATAGTCCACAACAACGAAGAAGTCAAAGGAAGCCCAGTGGCTTGTTTGTCACAGAAAGTGTAGAATTTGGGATTTTCATTTCAATCCATTGACAAGCAGGGTTTCCATGCCCTGTGTGCACAGTTCAAGGAACAGTTTGCTCTTACCTGGGTATCAGGAAGGGGCTCCTAGCCAGGGCAATCAGAGAGTCACTCTTGCTGACTGCCCCAGCTGACAGCCCTTCTCCTGCCCCAGTAATGTCTGGCGAACCATGAGACAGGGGAACAGGAATGGGTTTGCTCAGAACTCTTGAAAGAGGCCATGGGACTTGGGCACACCCAAAGGAGCAAGAAGCAAGCAGCACCCAAAATACGCATTGACCCAAAGGCCGATCTTCTGACACATCCACACACGTCTCATCACACATGCAGGGAAACCGTGTCATGTCCGAACTCCAGAACTCCAAACCTCTCATAGTAGTCAGGAGAACACTGGGATGAGTTTAGCTTTTGAGAACTATAAATGTGCCCAAGTGTTGGTTTGGCTAGCAGACTGGAAAATTCTTAGGGTTAAAATTCAAATAAGAATAATATAGCATTGCTAGTCATGACTACAGTATTTACTTAAATTATGCTCTCAGATCTCTATGAAGACAATCCAAAACATAATTAATACTTTTTTTTTTCGCTACAGAGGATAAGTTTTGATTGTACACACACACACACACACACACACATACACACACGATAATATCTATACATATATTTGCCATGCAGAAGTAATGGAAAAGTGAAGGGTATTCCCGAGTTGGCAGCAAATGCCCAGAGTGGGTGAAACTGATGCCCGTGCTCTAGGCCCGGGGAGCCTCTGAGCAACCTGCACTGTGGTGCCCTGGCCTGAGCGTGTGCTCAAAGGCCTGCTCCGCCTCTCCATGACCTAGTAAAGCATGGTGGCCTCCTCCCTTCCTGCCCAAAGCATTAGAATGTCAAGCTCCAGTCCTTGAATGCCATTCTCTCCCTTCCCCCTCAATCCTCCCAGCTCCCCCTCCCCCACTTCCTGTTTGTTTTAAAGAATGGGCACCCAGCATTCCCCCTGCTTCTCATTGGGAAGGAAGGCAGAGGCACGGGAGAGATCTGGGTGGTTGTGGAACAGGAATGGAACTTCAACAGAGTAATGAGGCAGGAAGGGAAAGGGCATGTTGGGGGGTGCAAGAGCTGGGACTTGATAATCTCTGTGAGTCCTGGAAAGAAGAGCGTTTGCTTTGAGGGGTGATTGCCTTTCATGGACTTCTTGGGGGTGGCGGCCTTTTGATCTGCGATGCTGCTCCGTCCAGCCCTGGGCACAGAGTTAGCCATTTCTCCAGTGCATGCAGCTTCTGCACTGGATCAGCGCAGAACCTCGGGAAGGAGGGTGAGGGCTCTAATACTGGAATGCCCTGGAAAACCACCAGGAATCTTGGTATCCTGTAACCGTCTTTCTCCAGGGCCTGGGATCCCTCATCGGCGTCTGGACACCCTTCATCTTTTAGCCGTTGCCCTGTTCTTGGTGAACTGCTTGTTAGGACCAAAAGTGGCCCACCCCTTTCTCTGGGACAGTGCAGAGCACCGGGGCCAGAGGCTCAAAGCACCTCCAAGCTGAGATCAGAGACTTTGGATATCGTTGATCCAGAGGCTTCCAAACTTTTCCTGGTGATTGAATTCTTACCATGAAATCCAGTGAGGAGCTCCAATGCCTCAAGCAGATGGAAGAGGAACTGCTCTTCTTGAAGGCAGGGCAGGGCTCTCAGAGGGCAAGACTCACCCCACCCCTGCCACGGGCTCTCCAGGGTAACTTTGGAGCCCCAGCACTCTGTGGAATATGGTTCGCAGAACACTTGCATCCTGCTGTTGGGATGCCCCCAAACTATAATAGCAGCATGCTCAGTCTTTCACCAGAAAGAACCATCTTATCTGGAGGATGGTCAGGAAAACAAACTCAACAGCCAGTGCCTCCCCTCAGAACTCTGCTCCTGAGGTCTCCTTTCAGTCTGCATAAGTCCTCCCAACCTGGGAGCCCCAAAGCTTCTCAGCGGATCCATCCCCTCTTCCATTCTATCCCAAGGTCTCAGCTGCATTCTGTTCTGCTTGGTCTTCCTCTCCTCTTCATACAGACTAGACCTTCACCCCCTGCCCAGTATGGCGCGCAAATGCCATTGAGATACATTTGTTTTGGTCCCAATATCTTTTGGGGCTCCAAAAAGCCCCAGAAAGAGTAATGCCTTCAGCCATGGCCCATGTGATGACTTTTCCCAGAGACAGCCCCATGGGTCAGTGATCGCCGGTGGGAGGTCTCCCCAGCCTCCCTTCAAGCCTTCAAGTCTGTGTAGAGGCGCCTTCTCTTCTCTGGGCATTCCCCGCTTTGTTGCAGAGAAATTATTTTCTACTCAGCGGCTTTCAGGTAGAGAGAGAAAGTGCATGCGGTATGAAGGATGTGAAGATGGAGGGCTTGACGTCGTGGGTCATGTTTTGTGGTTAATTCCCCCACATAACAAAACAGTGAGCAAATGTTTATAAACAGGAACTCAGTGTTTCAGTGATGAAAGCCTCTGGCCTCGCCACACTGATTGCTGGTGTGCGCGCACACACACACTCACACACCCTGTTTTTCTTACACACACACAGCTTCATGGAGCAGAGAGCTGGAAAGGGTGTCCAGAATGGTGGATCAGGCTTATTATTATTACTTTTTTTATCTCCACCAAACTCTCTCCTTAAGCCCCAGCAGCCCAACCCCCCCCCGCACCAGACAGCATATCGAAGGAGTAAGCTGCAGGTCAGCCTATATTTTAGGCAGAAAATTAGGCAACCTTGGGAGAGACCGGTTTCCAGCAGACACGCACGGACGCGATGGTGAGGTTGGGCTGAGACGGTCCTTCCTGGATGCAGTCACCCTCCCCATCCCGAGTTTTACTCCCTGGGGGGATTGTGGTGGGTGCCTGGCCTCCTCTCCCACCAGCGCACTGCCCCAAGCTTGCCTAGGTAGTATCAGCACTGGGGTGAGGGATGCAATGCGGGTTTATAGTTGGCTGTGGGGACTTCTGATTTCTCCACCCCATAGATGATAAACGACCGCGGGGCTTCCTCTCCCAGGTCTTTCCTCACTCTCCTTCGTCTTTCCCTCTTTCTCCATGGGAAAGGTAGAATGAGACTTGCCACCAGGGACATCCAGGCACATTCCTCTTCCCAATCAGCCTCTACCCATTCTCTTTCTGTCTCGTGTGTATCAGTGGCATTTTCTTGTGTAGCTTCCCAGATTTGCAAACCCGCTCCACATCCTGGACGCAGACCCCCTTCGCTGGCTCTATGAAGGCTTCACGTTCCTGGGGCATTCGAGACTTGACTTTCCAGAGCAACTTTGGATCCACCCTGTTACCCTTTTTTTTGTTTTGTTTTGTTTTGAGAGGGAGTCTCGCTGTGTTGTCCAGGCTGGAGTGCAGTGGTGTGATCTCGGCTTACTGCAACCTCCGCCTACTGGGTTCAAGTGATTCTCTTGCCTCAATCTCCCCAGTACCTGGGATTACAGGTAGACACCATCACGCCTGGCTAATTTTTGTATTTTTAGTAAAGACAGGGTTTCATCATGTTGGCCTGGCTGGTCTCAAACTCCTGACCTCAGGCGATCCGCCCGCCTCAGCCTCCCAAAGTTCTGGGATTACAAGTGTGAACCACCGTGCCCAACCTCCCCTCGTTTTTGACCTTTGTCCCCAAATGTCTTTCATCCAGTTACTAGGACTTGTAGCCTTTTTGCAAATAGGTATCTGTAAGCATAGAAGAATAGGGTGATTTGTGAAGTGACCCTTAGTGGCATCTGTGGCGGTCCTACTAATCAGATTTGCAGAAGAAACACGGAAACAAGGAAACTCCTCTCTTATATTAAAATAAATAAGGTTTTTAATTTCAAGTTTCAGAGATATTTCCTTTCTTTTCTGAAAATAAATATACAATTGTCTTGAGAGTCCTATAAGCCAAACGCAGGATGCCGATGTTCTCACCACTTCAGGCCCTTCACAGGGCGAGAAACCTTAATCTTGAACCAAGCAACTCCCCCAAAATGACGCTGATGTTTGTGAGTGGGTTGTGTGCATTTTCTGGGGGAAGCATCCCGCGTTCTCAGTTGCACGTCACACAGGGGTTCTGGACTCAACAAGGATGTAGAGCTGCTGCCTTGGATCCTCTTTGACACCTTCTTCCTTTTATACACCAAAGACAATCCATCCCCCAAGTCCCTTCTCTACAGTGCCCCTCAGATCCATTCCTCCTCCCTGCTCATCTGGGTGATGCCTGGATATAGTTTCCCATGACTTTACAACCAGCCTCCAACTCCTCACCACGGTCTTCAATGCCCGCTCTGACAGCTCTCGACGCTCACTCTCAGCTCCTCTCCCTAACTTGTCGTTGAAGTGGAAACCCAGACTCACCTGGATTTTCCTTCTGGCTCTGCTACTTGACAGCTGTGTGGCCCCTGATAAGTTGCTTAAGCTCTCTGATGCTTGGCTTTGTTATCTAAAAACTGGGATAACAACACCTCAATCGCAGGGCATTTGATGAAGATCAAATGAGCTAGCACAGGTAACAAACCTGGTACATTCCACACTCAGCTTTTAAATCAATGCTTCTCCCCTTCCCTTCCCCTCTCCTTGGTCTCACTCCCCACCCTTTCAATCCAGCACTGCACTTTGCAGAGTGGCCTCTCAGCAAATGCCTTTGCTTCATGATTTCTTACAGCTCAAAATCACCTGTGATATCTGCAGCTGGCTTTGCAGAGCTTGTAGATTTGGGTGAGTACCGGGAGGTAAACGCAGGAGGTTGAGGGGAGCAGAGGGGAGGGAAGTGGGTGAGGAGCAGGGTGGGGCTGCCATTCATTTAGCAGGAGGGCCCTGGGGATGGGCTTCTTGATTTTCTTTTCTTTTGAGCATCCGCTGTGATGACTCAACAGCCTCCATCTGAACCCCAGAAAGAAGCCTCAAGAAAAGTCTACAAAGCGGGTGGTTGTCCCGTCATATTAATCACCCGGGTCCCTGAGCAGCCTCTTGTCATGGGGTCACTTGGGGCCAGAATTGTCCCAGGCTGTGGCTGTGTCTAGACTGTGTTCAGGTAGATGACGGGAGAGGAGCCCTCTTGATTTCCTTGCTCACTCCAGGTACCCTTGCTCTTGTCCTACCTGGCATTTTTATTCCTGGTTTAGACCAGAAATGGATATTATGTTCACCAGTCGATTTGTGAGGATAACAGCACCATTATCCCCCACGGAGTAACTTCTTAAAACATGAGTCATTTTTTTTCTATTAATTGTCCGTCTGTTGACAACGTTTCTTGTGTCTGTAAAGTGCTTTGAGCTCCTAAGAAGAAAGGTGTTACTCAAACACGAGGTATTATTATTATTTTTGTCAATATCATTATTTCACAATGCGGGACCTCTTTAAAACTGCCATCAGTGTGGAAAGCAATTATTGGGTTTGCTGTGGTTCCATCTGGGGCTTATAGCAAGGTGCAACATCTAGAAAACCAAGTCGTGGAGGAAAATGATAACACTGTGTTTATGTGCCTCTTGCCATCTTGTCATTTTACAGCCTTCGGGGACATTATTCATGAATCTCCTGGGGTTATAGAGAGACAAGCACTCTTGTCCCCCATTTAAAAAACAGGGAGAAGTTGTGGAAGAAAGAGCCCGAAGCTGCAGGACTTATCTGAAACCCTTTTTGGGATGTGCTGGAAACACCCTTTCTACTCACATGCAGGATCACTGAAAGCCGATGTACTTTGCTGGCCAGCAGCTGTTGGAAGGGCAGGGGCGTTTGTGTCCCTTCTGAGCCTTTCTGTGAGGAGGGCTCTTCCCATGCCCTCCTCCAGACACTCTGACTACTTGTGGTGCCGCTGGATGCTCTGAGTGGGTGCCACGTGACCGGCTTGATTGCATCACATGGTAATGTGCCAAAACTGAGCAAGATAACAGCTGCCCAGCGAAGCCACCTCATAGCTTGTGAGAAAGTTCATGTCTTCCAAGGCTGGGTTTGCATTTTGGGGGCAGTCATGGGTCTTTGTCTGGAGACACTTCCGCTCACCCAGTGTTGCCAGAGTTTGTGAGTAGTGGGTCACCACATTCTTCCATTCACGCACAGCTGTGTGGTGAGGAAGTGGGGTGCACTGGAAAGGCAGTGGGCTCGGGAGTCATGCAGACCTCTGTTTAAATCCCAAACTCACCTCTTATTAGCTATGCGACTTTGGGCAAATAATTTCCCAGCCTGTTTTCTCATTGGTAGGATGGGAGCCAACAATATCAATAATATCTTCCTTGTAGGGTTGTTGTGAAAATTCTTGTGAATAGTTGTGTAGCTCTGACACAGTTTGGGAGGTGGCAGGAGCAGCTCCCACTGGTGGGTGAGGTGAGATTGTGTTTGGTGGCATTACACTGGTAGCTTGAAACTGGCCGTGGCAAGAGTATTTTCACCATGGAAATCAGCCAGTGCCACAAAGCGGGGATATTGTCTTCCCAAGAACTTACTTATCAGTATACCACTGCACAGTAGACACTCAATAAACGTAGCTATCATTACTAAACTTGGGTAAAACCTACCTTCATTCAAAATGTAGAAATAGAATACAACCCTTATGCAGAACATAAAAATCACTGCTTGTTTTACAAGAAAAGTAGTATCACATCTGCCCAAAATTGATCACACAGAAAGATGAATGTGTGGCCTCTTTTGATACATGTTGCTTGTCATTTAGATCTATTGCTTTTGCTTATTGAACTTGGGAGCATATTTTCTGTTGCTTCGAGTAACTCCAGTAATTGTCTGGCTTATAATAATGCACTGGCTAAAACCTAAACTGACAGGAAGAAAGAAAGGTGAAACACTTGTCAATCAACAAACATTCAACATGGTGCTCGATTCCACAATGAACACAAGAAATATACAAATGATTCTTGACTTCATGAAGCTCATCGTCTGCATGGGTAGGCAAGGGAAAAGGCACACATATTTTAAAATAATATAAAAAATTAATAGCTTTTGCAAACACATGATATGTTATAATATGTTTTTACATGTAAGAAATTCAGGCACAGGGAAGTGAAGTAAATTTTTTCAGGTTACACACAAATAGTAGTAAGTCGCAAAACTGGAATGTGAGCTCAGACCATAGATTTACTTTCCACTGATAATTAGAGAGCAAGAGATGACATTACATGCCGACATAAAAAAGAGCTAAATTTTATATATAGATTATTAGGGAAAGAATAAACTATAATAAAAAGTTAATTATGTGATCCTGGACAATGTCTTAGGGTGTTTGGGCTGCCATAACAAAGTACCATAGAGTGGGTGGATTATAAATAACTGATATTTATTTCTTACTGTTTTGGAGGCTGGGAAGTCTCAGATCAAGATGCCAGCAGATTAGTGTCTGGCAAGGGCCCACTCCCTGGCTCATAGACGGCAATCTCCTTACTGTTTCCTCACGTGGTGGAAGAGACAGATGAGCTATCTGGGGCCTCTTTTATAAGAGCACTAGTGCCATTCATAAGACCTCCTCCCTTATGATCTAATTGCCTCCCAAATCCCTACCACCTAATACCATCTGATTGCGGGTATTTCAATATATGAATTTTGGGGGAACACAAATATTCAGTCCATGGCAGACATCAACTGCAGAAAGATCAGAACAATTAAAAGGGGGCAGGAATCATCACATGCTAAAAACTGGTGGGAAAAGCTCCACAGGAAGATGGTATTTCTCCTGTATCTTGACAGATAGTTAATGGTGAACCCCCATGAAAGAAGGTACAAAAAGGCAGTGAAGAAGGCTTCTCTTTTCTATGTTTGGACAATCTGAAAACATCAGGGAAATGCCAGTCAAAACAATATTTTGATACTATACAGATTTAGTCTATTTCTCTAATTAAACAAATCTTTCTTGCTTCTCTCCTTCCTCACCTTCTTTCTTGGTCTAATGTAAAAAAAAAAAAAAAAAAAGATGTGTTTTTCTGAGTGTAGCCAACCCAAACACAACTTCAAATAATAAATACTGAAGCAATGATGAGGAAGCCATTGCTTGGCTGGGGGAAGCAATATTTCATTTCATACATCATTTGCTACTGCGCTAGGCAGCGATTTCAAAAAGTCAGTAAAGATTTGGAAAGCTAAGAAGGGAGGAAAAAAACTCAACAATATTACTGCTCCATCTCCATTATCTTGTAAGGCATATTGATGCACGATAAGAGGTAACCATGACTGTTCTGATTTACACAGTAAGGACAAGATGGCACTAAACTGTGTTTCTATAGCATTTTATGTGTCATAGGCTTTATTGAAAAGGTAGCGATTGCTCTCTGTGGCTCAAACCTGGGTTTTCCAGAGCTCGGTTTGGGGTTGAAAGCAAATATGATGCACATGCGCTGTGGACTGAGATGATTTGAGGTCTCCATGGCAGAAAAGTAACTGAAACTCGCCATCAGTCCCAGCAGCCACTATCTATCTTTAGGCTGTTGACCAAGACAGAAGGGAAATCAGGGATCGTGTCTGCAGCCGAAGAAAGAAGATGCAGGCGATAGAGGAGGTGGAGAAGGAGTAGCTGCCCCCTCTTTCCTACCTGATCATCAGAGGTAAAGAATTCCAGTGCATAATTTCATCCCCATTCCTCCCTCATAATACATAGATTTCCAGCCTCCACCATTTCTCCATCACTCCGTTCCCTACTTCCCACCTCCCCTCCATATCACAGGTTCACATGGGTGACTCAGAAGTCATATCCACATCGTCTGGGTCTCAGAATCCTCTCTGTGCTGACATCGGAATATCTACGGTGCAGTTTCCTGACATACTGTTTGCCCCAGCCTTGCTCCAGTCAGTCACGAAGACTGGGTTTGAAGGTTGCAGACCAGAGTATTAGCACACTGAAGAATTATTCCTGACACACAAAACCTTACCCTGATCACCTCTGAGAGGTTGTTGACCCCAGGAATGGCCAGAGTATTATGTGTTCTTAAAACGGAATATCAGTTAGTTGTCCCAAAGAGGAAAGAAAAACCCATACATGAGGAAGGGTGGCCCCAGGGTAGCGGAAGGTCCTGGGACCCTCCACTGTAGTGAGGGCGGCTGCTGGAGCCAGGCCACATCCAATTCTCCTGGGGCCCCTGTGCACAGTCTCTCAATTCTGAAGGGTGCTTCAAAGCAGGTTCCACTGGGTCTGGATTACTGGGGATCCCAATGGCTTCCTGCCCTACCCCACCTCCTGCTCCCTCCAGACAGCCCTCAACAGCTCTCAGCCTGCACTGGGCTCTTCCCTGGAGTCTAGTTTCAGGAAGACATGAATTTGAAATCTGCATGACCCCTTGGATTAGTTACTTAAAACCTCAACTTCTCATCTGTGAACTGGGGATAAGAGTACTACCTATCCAGTGGTTGTGCTGGTAAACATTGAACAATAGCTCTCGAATAATGAAACCAACCAATCAACGAAAAGAAACCTCTGATTTCATAGCACTTGCCAATTTCCGTGGTGTACGTACCTCCACCATGGCCAATTTCAAGCTGTTGCCATGATGTCACTGGATGTGGAGCTGGGAAGAGATAGACATAATCGGCTCTTGTGAGCTGGCTCTAAGACACCCCTCTTTCCACGCACTGAGGTTACTGGGGTAATGCACAGGCAGTACTTACAGCGCTAGTCCAGCGCCTGGCACACAGTAGGTGCCCTTATTATAGTTGTGCCTCACACCAGCCAGGGCTTTTAGCTTGGGAGTCTTCTTGCCTTTCAGAATGCAGCTAATGGATCCTCTCTTCTGGGAGGAGCAAATTGCAATGATTTTTAAATAATATAAGGCTGTCATTCCTGGCTCCAGATCCACTGCTCTCAGCATCTTCTTGGAAATAGCTCAGAGCCCAGTGCATATGCTTCAGGATGGCATTGGAGAGGAAATCACTCCCTGCCACCACAATGCTTGAATTTTATGGTCCTTAGAGCCACACTAAGCTGCCTTGGCCAGTATCACAGTACTTTCGCTAATACTCTGCAATATACAAAACATTGTTTGACTTTTAGCAAGCTCCTAATGTGTTTGTTCCTTTCCTAAGCAACAGCTATGCTGCTGGCCGTGTCTGACAAAGAAACAAAGTCACATTGTTCAAAGCAAACAACTCCAGTATCAGTTGGAACAAATAGACAATCACACTCCCAGACCTCAATCTCCAAGCCCAGCTGGACTAAGCAGAGTGAAAAGGCTCAAGGCCACAAGGCAGCAAAACACACCTTTATCTGCTTTCAAAAGGCCTCTGTCAAGCACAGTTTTTATGTGGATTTCCCCCCACCCCCGACTGTTACTAGTATCCTTTTAGAACCTGAAAATAGCCTGTCTTTCCTTACTGATGGGTTCTGTTCCAGGTGACTTTGATTGATTTATTTTTTTTCTCACCACCCCCTGTGTTTAGAGGAGGACAAAAAGGTTTGCTTTTGCTTCTCTGTTCATTTTTTAAAGGTCCTCCTAGTAAGACTATAGTTTCATCCTTTTAAACCCAGTTTCCCTATCTGTGGGACCAGGCGATCATTTGGATTCTTCTCCTGTTAGATCTACTACAATTCTGGAAGCAGTTGCCCCTTTTCTGGTCTCCTGCCACAAGGAAGCCTGGCGCTAATGGGCAGAAGGGTGTGTTGTGTGGAGGGGCTTTCTGCTACTTGCAGAAGTGCCTGAAGACTGTTATTTGCAGCCCTGTAGGTTCATGGTAAGAGACACTCAGAGGAACCTTCTAGAGAGTTCTCCTGCAGGCCACTAGGCCAGCAGAGCACAAGATCCAGCCGCCTGCAACCGTGGAGAGTCCCACCAAGTAGAAAGGGGTCGAGATGAAAATGAACTAGACTGGCCCTTCGCTGGCCCTGAATATGTGGTGTGGCCTGATGAACACATTTTTTTGTTGTTGTTTAATTAGAAAAGTAACTGGTTGCTTGGCAAACACCTAGTCAGGGGTTGCTCACAGTTGGGTTGGAGGCTGCTAACCTCGGTGCAATAGGGGAGTATCAGGGGAGCAGAATGGATTTGTCACTTTGAGAACCTGACCTAGGGAGAGACAGCCTTGCTTGAAGAGATTGGAAGGGTGGGTCCCTAAAGACTCCAAGGAGAAGGAGCTGTGTCTTGAGGAAACAGCGAGATGTCTCCAGGCCTGGAAGGATGAAGCAGGGAAATCCAGGCAGAAAGAGCAGCTTGGAGAAAGGAGCAGAGACATGAAGGGCCCACAAGCCTGTGTGTGTGGACATGGGCTTGGATTGGCTTATATCTACACTTCCTGAACAGAGAGCGGAAGAATGCGTTCTTATGAGATCACTTACTTATTAAATTATTGTCATGAGCTTTCTGGGGTTCTGTGGTAAATTCAAAAGGAGCATGAGGGCTGGGTGCAGTGGGTCACACCTGTCATTCCAGTGCTTTGGGAGGCTAAGGCAGGAGAATCCCTTGAAGCCAGGAGCTGGAGATCAGCCAGGGCAACATAGCGAGACCCTGTCTCTACAAAAAAAATTTTTAAAATTATCCAGGTGTGGTGGCATGTACCTGTACTCCCAGCTGCTGTGGAACCTGAGATGGGAGGATGGCTTGACCCCAGGAGGTTGAGGCTGCAGTGAGCTATGATCCAGCCATTGCACTCCAGCCTGGGTGACAAAGCAAGACCCTGTCTCTAAAAGAAAAAGGGGGAAAAAAAAGGAAAAGAAAAGGGGGAACATAAGATGACCCACCTGGCAGACACTCTTCCTTCCCTCTGTGATCCTTAAGGTCTTCACTTTCCTCCTTTAAAGACCTCCAGGGTCCAAAGGAATGAGTCTCTCCTTGTGACTCTCAACACCATTTTCTGTATAACTCAATTTGCTTTAACCGTGAATTGCAATATCTCTTCCATCATGGTTGTTTTGAACTGTTATTTACATTTTAATGTACGACTTAATTCTCTACTCCTTTTATTTTTAGATGAAGTCACTCTGTCACCCAGGGTAGAGTGCAGTGTCATGATCTTGGCTCACTGCCACCTCTGCCTCCGGGGTTCAAGCGATTCTCCTGCCTCAGCCTCCCAAGTAGCTGGGATTATAGACATGTGCTACCATGCCCAGCTAATTTTTGTATTTTTAGTGGAGACAGGGTTTCACCATGTTGGCCAGGCTGGTCTCGAACTCCTGACCTCCGGTGATCTGTCCACCTCCACCTCCCAAAGTGCTGAGATTACAGGCATGAGCCACTGAGCCTGGCCTCTCTACTCATTTTTAATCAACTCAATTGGAATAAAATTTACATACAATAAGATGCACAGAATTGAAGTGTGCAGTTTGATGACAAACGCATGTGTGTAAGCACCATCCGAATCAGGATGAAGCATCTCCATCACTTCAGAAAGTTCCTGCATGCCTGTTTGCTTTCATCACCCCCCTCCCTGTTCCCACCACCAACCCAGACAACCCAGGCCACCAGTGATCTGAGTTCTGTCATCAAAGTTTTGTTTTCCCTCTTCTGGACTTGCCATATGAACAGAATCAATTGGTATACAGTCTTATGTCTGGCTTTTTTTGCTCAACATAATGATTGGGTTCATCAATGCTGAGTAAGTCTATCAATAGTTTGTTTCTTTTTATTGCTGAGTAGTAGTAAATTGCATGAATACAATAATCTTTTCTTTTTTAATCTCTCCCCCATTAACAGATATTTATGGTTGTTTTCTCCATGCATTTTTTTAGAGGAGAGGGGCTTGCCTTTCCAACCAGCTTGTGAACGCTTGAAGGGCAAGGATGTGTCTCACAGGCTCTGTCATCCACCCCTGAAGCACCTTATCCAGTGCCACTTCAGACTAGGCCCTCCAACGTGTTGGTTAATTGAATTATAGTTTCGGATAAGATGTGGTCCCTGCCTTTAAAAAGCTTTTAATTTAATTATGGAAGCAGCTACAAACATCAATCCATTATTCCAAGACAACACATTTATCCATTCATTCAGCAAGTTTTTATTTTAGAGAAGAGAGAAAGCATGTCCATGCATACCTGAATCATGGGGCAGAAAGTGAAATGTGGTGCAGAGGAAATTCAGGCGAGGAGCCACAAAAACTGAGAGCAAAGTGACTTTGCTAAGAGGCTCTGGGAAAAATCTCAAAGGGGAGGAGCAAATGCCCAGACCTAGGAGACTGGGCAGAATTTGGACACAAGGAAGTCATTGTGGGCTGACAGTACAGGGTCCAACAGAGGCAAAGAGCTGGAAATGCAGGGAAAGAAAGGGGAACATCCTCCTCTTCCAGCGGAGGAAGCTGGGTGAAGAAAGGAGAAGCATTGCGCTGGTGTGGGAAGCACGGGGCCGCTAAGGTTGAAGTGAGTGGAGATGGGAGGCGGCGGGAGTCACTAGAGGCTAGGAAGAGAGGCTCACACTACAGAGGGCCTTGAGTGCCAGGCTAGGAAATCCATAGGTAAGTTCAAACACACATTACATGCCCATCAAACTTATGTGAGGATGGGGATACCATTATAATGATTTAGCATCTGTCCACTGCAAGGAAAAACCTCCACTGTTTATGAATTATTATATGCATGTTACAGGTGAATAACTGAGGCTGAGTCAGGATTCAGCCCTAATTTCTGTTAACTCTGCTCTGGGCAGAGTGAGGCTTTATGCACAGCAGATGGTAAATGCATGTAAAAGCATGAGACTCGGTGTATAAAGATCAGAGAGAGCTAAAGTGTGTATGTGTGTGTGTGAGTGTGTGTGAAAATCATTATAAGTATATAGAAATATAGAAATAGAATTGAATTGTTTGTTTTAAGGGATTGAAATGCAATGAACTTATTGTCAACACTGCATGATACTTTGAGGGCTTCATACTTTTTCAGTAATTTTATATTCATTTTGTCATTAGATCTTCACAGTAATCCTGAAAGTTCAATAAGTCAGATATTATTATTATTATTATTACTACTACTACCACTACAATGATTATTCTTGATTTTTCAGGGGAAGAAGCCAAGACTCAAGGAGTTAAGAACTTTTCCAAGGGTAGCTATTAGCCAGGACTCAAACCTACATACTTGAATGAATTTCTACAACCTGTTATTGAAGACTAAGGAGTAAGAATTCTGCCGGAAGACTGTGTTGCCGAACCAATCAGTTTGTCTAAAACTCTTTCACTCCCCATCCCCAACTCCCTGTTGGCCTAGGGGCAGTCTGAGAGGGGGCTTAGAATAAATCAGAAGAGGGGTCTCATTCAGATTGTTTTGCTGTGATCACATGTGAGTCAGATTTTTCTTCTGTAACAAGAGGTAGTTGAAGAGGTAAATCCCTAAGCTTTCTGCCATTGTAGACAGGTGTTCTTCTCTGATCCTCAGGGCCACAGTCGGAAAGGAAGTTGTCTGCACTGAGAACCGGGAGGGATCCCTCCGTTGCTTCCATGAGGGTGCGGGACTCATGGCTCTGGGCCTCCAAGGCACCACGGCCTCTGGCTCCATTCCACCCTCCCCGCGCTCTCCTCAAACCTCAGGCTTCCTTTTTCTGCCTGCTGCAGGGCTTCTCAGCCTGGGCTGGATCCTGGACAGACAGGCCCAGGCAGGCTGTGCACTGTGACCTGGGGCCTTGCTGTGAACAAAGAGGACTTCAAGAGGAGATGGCCTGGAGGAGTTCGCCTTTGTGGTCATTTTGCTTCAGGTAAATCCTGTATAACCAGGAACCAGGGATAATGAGTCAGGGACCGACCATGAGAAACACACTGTTCTAACACAGCTTCTGAAGAGCCTTCTGGAGGGGGCTCGAGCTTCCCACATGGGGGGCCTCTTTCCAAGACCCAACTGCCTAATTTGGAATCTCCCAAAAAGTTTGTTTGCTTTTGTGCGCACATGATTCCCAAGACAGTGTGTTAAATGACTTGAATGAATCATCCACTGCTCCCTCCATTTATCTACCACCTGCTTCCTTTTCAGTCCGTGACAACCTGGCTTCCATCAAACCAATCAGCCCATCACCCAATACTAGCTGTTCCAAATATAAATTGTTGTCTTTGTCACTTTGCGTAGTCACTCTCCTCTTGAAATATACACATGTTGTGAAAGGACTCTAGAAATAAATCTTTCCTCATTAAAATTTTCTACACATGCGTTAATTTTTCCTCCCTTTTCAACAGCGGACCAGTCAGCAAATAATGACTGCCCTTGGTCATCCCTGGGAAGATAAAGGATTATTAAAAGAGGGCCCGGCAGCTTGCAGATTACACCTGCTACATTTGGAGTGGAAAGAGGCTTCTCTGTCAGTGCCCCTTGCCCCCATGGAAAGACACTAATAGCAATCTTCAACCATAATTGTTTGGTCCATTTTGTTCTGGACCAAGTTTGCATAAGTTTTAAGCCTGAAAGTCAAAGAAAAACGAAATCTTACACGTCAACATGGCCTTTCCATCACTTGAAAAAGGCACCCTCTCTCTCTCTTTCTCTCTGCCTCGTAAACACAGCGGTCTTGCTCAGAGCAATCTTGAGCTCTGAGCTGTGAAGAATTGCTGTAGGTAGGAAGAAACGTTGGCTCTGGAATTCAATTAACTGTCAGCATTGCTGTTCGAGTCAGGATGACTCACTCCTCTTCAGCAAATGGGCATGGGGGCTGTGAGCCTCCAAGATTAATGGTGATTGATAAGCCGCTGGAGCTCCAGGACGAAGCCTCCCAGAATCCTTCCCTCACCCACACACGTTTTTACATGAAAATATAATAGATAGTGGGAGAGGATGTGTGAGTACAGAGGAGATGCTGTCAAGAATTTGCCTGTATCCTTTTCTTTTATATTGGTAAGTTTCACTGGATTCTAAGCTACTGAAAAGCAGGGACTATGTTTTATATTTCTTTTCTCTCAGTTCATGTCCAAATTAATGCATCAGGTGAAAAGAAAGGATGCTGTCTGATACCCCATGAGGTAGGTATGAGGCCCATTCTATAAATGAGGGGAAGCAACGTGCTAATAAGAGAAAAAGCTAGGACTCGGTCCCAGAAAGTCTGCCAAGGGTGCCAGCTCCAACCGCTGCAGGTGCCGCCTCTTCACGAGCACGTTACGCCATTTCTCTCTTTAACACGGAAAGCAAAATGTGGGCCTGACTGTGGTGAGGGCATGCTTTTCCATTCTAAATGGCAGCTAGCATGCATTACATGTACAATATACAACAGGAATACAATACGCGGGAGAGAAAACCTTCCCTCCCCTTTTCCTCAGGCACCTGGCTGGTTCAGGCTCCAGTGGCTTGGTTTTGTCGCTGGTGTTGTTAGTTTCCCCCAGCATCCCCATTCATTTTCCAGAATCCTCTGTCCCTCATTGTAGTTTTGTATTTGCAGATACAATCTAGGAAACAATTCAGATGGGAAAAGAAATCTTTTCATGAGAAAGGATAGTAAAATTAACAGAAAGCTGGTTAAACTTACAATTTCCTCAAGTATTGAGAATAAACATGAATCCATGAGAATAAAAACTCAGTATGGATTTGTCCACAACGCTTAGGAGGAACATGTTAGAAGTGCCACATGCAGGCCAGGCGTGGTGGCTCACGCCTGTAATCCCAGCATTTTGGGAGGCCGAGGCAGGAGGATCAAGAGGTCAGGAGATCAAGATCATCCTGGCTAACACGGTGAAACCCTGTCTCTACTAAAAAAAATACAAAAAATTAGCCGGGTGTGGTGGCATAAGCCTGTAGTCCCAGCTACTCGGGAGGCTGAGGCAGGAGAATCGCTTGAACCCGGGAGGTGGAGCTTTCAGTGAGCCGAGACGCACCACTGCACTCCAGCCTGGGTGACAGAGCGAGACTCTGTCTCAAAAAAAAAAAAAAAGAAAAAGAAAAAGAAAGAAAAAGAAATGCCACATGCATGTAAGAGTCCAGGCAGGGTGGTCAAACTGTCAGATGCGCAACATTCGAGGGGCAAAAAGGATGAAATAAGATGCTCTCTAAACGCATGAGCAAGACCAGCTGTCAAAGCACTGGCGCCTTTATTCACACATTTTGTAAACCTCAGGTAGACAGGAGACAGCAGTAAGTACGTGACCTCAGCGCGTGATCCTCATTCAAACTGGAATTCGAGTATCACTGGTCTCAGCTGCAGACATTTCAGAGTGGGTCCATTTGCTCTTAGGAACTTCCAGGGCACCCCAGCACCACTTGTTTTTGCCTTTGTCTTTGCTTTCCTTCCCCACATCCCTACAAAACCAAACAGACTTGCTCTCCCAGCTTCACAAAGAGAAACGGATTCCAAGAGGAAATCACTTCACAGCAAGTGAGCCCTGGGAAGAATTAAAGACTGAGGAGCCCTTGTAATGAGATTAAGGGAAAAATGCTTTTGTGCATCCAACTCAGACCCGTCCTCAGTATGCAGGACGCGAGTGGTGCCAAAACAAACATGGGTATTGTTTTGGGAAGGAAAAGGTTAACAAGCTATGAAAACAAAATTAGAGATATTTTCAAAGCATGACCCTCAGCAGAATGAGTAGAATGCAGTCTACCCAGGCAGCAGCATTCCCTCCTCACTTGACATTTATCCTGCAGCTTGTGGGGGAGCAGCTTCGGCTGTTATGTTCCCAACGGATGAGGAGGGAGCTGCACTCCTTGCGGCGGAGAAGCCGCATCCACTGGGCAGAGGCATAAAAGCTTGGGTCCAGGGGAAAAAGACATCGAGCTCCTTGGCGCCTTCTTAGAGAGGAGCTTAGAAAAAATTCTCTGTGGATCTTGCAGAGCTTGAAACATACGCTTTCATCTTCCCTCTGGCAAAAGCACTTAGCCTGGAATTGGAAATTCCGAGTTTGTTTCCAGATTTGGTCTCAGACTGGCCCTGAACACAAGAGCTGTGTCTCAGTTTCCTCATTCTGTCCATTCAGGTTTATTGGATGCCCACTGTGTACCAGGCTGAGGGCTTCCTGCTGTGGCTCTATAGTGGAAGGGCTTATCCTTGTCTTGACGGGACTCAAGCTCTTGTGAGGAAACAGATATGCAAAGAGATAATTATTACTGCAGTATAGAATGCATATACATGTAATGTTTATCAAATGGAACAGCTTTTAATTGGTTCACAAATCTAGCAGTAATGTGGCCAATGTCAGTGGACATCTGATACACAAGTAGAGTGTGTGTGTGTGTGTGTGTGTGTGTGTGATCGGACACCCAGTACCCTTCCTGGTTCTTTAAGAGCCTGTGAGAGCCCCTGTCCATGTCCTAAGCCTGATTACGGTGACAGAGACTGTCGCTTGGCCGTAGAGTTGGAGCCACAACGATGACATGGTATGTGACAGAGCCGAGATGAAGGAATAGGGAATGGTTCCTTGCTACTCTTCATCCAAAAAAGATTGCTAGTGCCCACGAGTGCCCGGGCTGTCTTAGTTTAATTCCATGCACACAGACTCCAGCATTTAACCATCAGAGTCAGAGATGTTTTATAAACAGAGTCACGAGCCCTAGCAAGAGAGAGAAGCAGGTCAGAGCGTTGAGGTGTCTGCGCAGGTTTTATGAGAAGGCACCCCGTTTTCTCCAACAAGACTCAAAATCTTGTTTGTTGCATTCAAGTCTCAGCTCTTCCAGGGTCTTCCGGCATCATTCTTGGCATTTTAGATGAACTTTCTGAACTTGGCTCAGAATGAGGTGGTGAAGCTTATTTCCAACGTCTTTGTGATTATTTCATACTTGACACCTCACATCCCTGGCTGGAGATCTCCCAAGATCTGAATTGACGGGTTTCATTTCCATGCATCTCAAAGTAGACATACTAAACGGAAGTGCACGGGGTGGCTTGGGCTCAGAGAGGACGGGCTGCGGGCGGTGACCTACCTAAAATTCTTGCTCCAATTATTGAAATATAGCCACGTCGTTTTTCTGAGACTTGTGATAATTAGCCAAGAAATTTGCTGACACTTAAAAGTAAATTTGGTATGAGCAGGTATTACAGAAAAACAATTCTACTGCCCATTCCTTCTTTTTTTTTTTTTTTTTTTGAGACTGAGTCTCGCTCCGTTCTGTTGCCCAGGCTGGAGTGCAGTGGCCTGATCTTGGCTCACTGCAAGCTCCGCCTCCCGGTTCACGCCATTCGCCTGCCTCAGCCTCCCGAGTGGCTGGGACTATAGGCGCCCGTCACTACGCCTGGCTAATTTTTTGTTATTTTTAGTAGAGACGGGGTTTCACCGTGTTAGCCACGATGGTGTCGATCTTCTGACCTCATGATCCGCCTGCATCGGCCTCCCAAAGTGCTGGGATTACAGGCGAGATCCACCGCGCCCAGCCTCTACTGCCCATTCCTTCTTAATTCACAGAAGAATTACCGATAATCTACTTTTTGGCTCTCTGGTTAATTTCTGGTTAACTGTTAAGTACCAAGAGTTTTGGTAACCTAATGTGAAATTAATCAAGCTTTTTATTTCCAGGCCTGTATGTGAGATTTGACTTGTCCTTCCAGATAAGGTATTTACGTTCATTTTAACATAGGTTTCTTTGCATGTATTTACCCAGTCCTTGATTATCTGGAACAAAAATTACTAATCCTATACTGGCTTCCTCTCTTGCTTCTGGGTGACTTCCCTCCTTTCTCCTGCCCATCCCAGTCAGGAATTTCTGTGGTACTGAATATACCATGGCACTTATTCCATGACGTGTCTTACGGGAAACAAGAAGATTGATACCCATTTTTGTTGCCCTGATGAATGAAGCTTACATCTGAAATCTCTTTTTAAAAATTTTTTAAACATTTTTTATTTTAATGCTTCAAATTTTTTATGGTAACATGGGCTGAAACACCTGAAATCTTGTCTTACTTGTTTACAGATGTTCTAAAATATTTCCGATACTCATAATAGATCCAAGGACTTTCTTGACATCTCCAGGAAGCTAATGAACATCTGCAACTCAACATGCCCGAAACTGGGCTCCCTATTCCCCTAGGCTGCCTCCCACCAAACCTGTTCCAGCCACAGCCTTCCTATCTCAGCTGGGAGCATTTCATTCTCCTAGTGGCTCAGGCCCCAAACCTCAGAGTCATCCTTGACTTCTTTCTTTTTTACTCCACATCCAAACTGTCAGGAAATCCCACTTATTCCCACAAAATATATCCAGCTCCACTGTTGTCACTCTGAGCCACTGCCATTTTTTGCCCCTGGATGACAACTGTGACCTCCGATAGGTCTGCATCTACCTTCAACCCACCAGCCAGAGTGATTCTTTGCAAATGTAAGGTAGTGCTACACCTGCTCGGGACCCTACAGAAGCTTCTGGCTCACCCAGAGAAGAGCAGAAATCATTACACCCACCTCCACCATCTCTCCAATCTTATGACCTACCACCTGCCCAGTTTGACTCCAGTTCAGCAGTACTGGCCTCCTTGCGATTCCTCCAAAAAGCCAGACATGCTACCACTGTAGGGCCTTTGCCCTACTTCTTTCTCTCTTTCTTTCTCTCTTTCTTTCTTTCTTTCTTTCTTTCTTTCTTTCTTTCTTTCTTTCTCTCTCTTTCTTTCTCTCTTTCTTCCTTTCTCTCTTTCTTCCTTTCTTTTTCTTTCTTTTTCTCTTTCTCTCTTTCTTTCTCTTTCTTCTTCCTTCCTTTCCTTTTTTTTTTTTTTTTTTTAGTGCAGTTTTGCTCTTGTCGCTCAGGCTGGAGTGCAATGGTCTGATCTCGGCTCACTGTAACCCCCGCCTCCCAGGTTCAAGTGGTTCTCCTGCCTCAGCCTCCCAAGTACCTGGGATTATAGGCATGCACCACCACTCTTAGCTAATTTTGTATTTTTAGTAGAGATGGGGTTTCGCCATGTTGGCCAGGCTGGTCTTGAGCTCCTGACCTCAGGTGATCCACCTGCCTCAGCCTCCCAAAGTGCTGGGATTACAGGTGTGAGCCACCGCGCCTTGACCCTACTTGTTCTTTCTGTCTGCAACATTCTTCGCCCTGATAGGGCTCTGGCCACTCCTCCCCTCCCAGTGCCTGCTCAGACCTCACTGCTCAATGCCCACCCTGACCTTTGTTGAACTTACCTGCAATACTGACCCCATCTGCTTGGCCTTAGCATCCCTGGTCTCCCTTCTCTCACTCTGTTTTTTGTTTGTTTATGTTCTTTTTTTTTGTTTTGAGATGGAGTCTCGCTCTGTTGCCCAGGCTGGAGTGCAGTGGCGTGATCTCGGCTCACTGCAAGCTCCACCTCCCGGCTTCACGCCATTCTCCTGCCTCAGCCTACCAAGTAGCTGGAACTACAGGCGTGTGCCACCACACCTGCCTAAGTTTTTGTATTTTTTAGTATAGACAGGGTTTCACCGGGTTAGTCAGGTTGGTGTCAATCTCCTGACCTCTTGATCCACCTGCCTCAGCCTCCCAGAGTGCTGGGATTACAGGCGTGAGCTACCGCGCCCGGCCTGTTTGTTTATTTTCTATAGCATTCCTCCTCACCTCCCAAAAAGTCCAGGATCTTTGTCTGTTTTATTTACTGATGGGTCCCTAGTACCTAGAGCAGCCCCTGACACTTAGTAGGTGCTCAAATAAGTCTGTCAAATGAACTGATGACTCAGGGGATTGGTGCATGGTGTTGAAAGAGCATGGGTTTGAAATCAGATGACCAGGGTTAAAGCTACCTACTAGCTGCCACTTACTAGCTATGAGACCTTGGGCAGATCCCTTAAACTTTTTGAGCCAGTTACATAAAATCATGACTGTGAAGTAGGTAAGACAGTGTCTGACACATAGAAACACTCATTAAATGGTAGTGAGTGGCATTGCTATTGCCGTTGTACATGACAATACCTGCTGTAATGCAGCACTAACTCTATGGAGAGCCTGTTTAAGCCCAGCTTCCCAAGTCTGACCATAAACCAAAGATGGCGTAAATGATCTTTGGCACCTGCCAAGCTTCCCTCTTGCTGATCCCGGTTGTTCCTCTGTACAGCAAAAGGGAGATGGAGAGAAGGCATGTAATTTTCTTACCAATAATCGGCTCAGCGACACTGGGTCCAACCCCCACTTATGTTGAGAGTAGGTAGGGGGGTTGCTGGCAGGCAGGGACCGGCTCCTTCTGCCTTTCCTTCCCCTCCGGCTGGCTCAAACCGGCTTTGTCATCATCATCATTACTCTAGGAAGCAGCAAGGGGCAGCAGAAGGGGCATGGCTTTGAGAGTTTCAGATCTGCTCTTTGCTAGGTGGGTAGTTTTGGACAAGACCCTCCTGCACCTCACGTTTCCCGACTGCATAGTGGACATAATACACCCTTGTCAATGGAATTCACGTGAGACATACTAGGTGCTCAAGAGAGTGTGGAAGGGCCTCAGGGCATAAGAGAACAATCCCACCCATGGGATAACCAGCACTTTTTGAATTTTTTTAGAAGGAAATTGTTAAGTCATTGAATGGGCCTTCTCCTGAAGTAGGGAGGTAGCTATCCCTAAAGGCATTCAGGAAGAAATTGGACACCCACTTAACCAATGAGATGACCAGCTCTCACTTAGGTCTCTGTCTCTAAGACCTGTGACTGCAATGAGGTTTCCTCCTCTGGTCCCCCTGACCCAAAATACCCCCTGCCCGGTCCCACCATAAACTTAACCAGGTTCTTGGCCTGGCAGAGACAGAGCTCGGCCTTCTCACAGCTGGCTTGTCTCACTCAGGAGAAGCTGTCACTGTAAAATGAAGGCACAGAAAAAGAGACATGCTCAGAGGACTCATATCAAAATATATATGTGGCCAGGCGCAGTGGCTGAATCCCAGCACTTTGGGAAGGTGAAGAGGGAAGACCACTTGAAACCAGGAGTTTGAGACCAGCCTGGGCAACTAAGCAAGACCCCATCTCTACAAATAAAATAAAATTAGCTGGGCATGGTGACATGTGCCTGTAGTCCCAGCTACTTGGGAGGCTGAGGCAGGAGGATGGCTTGAGTCCAGGAGTTGAAGGTTTATATTACACTGTGATTGCACCACTGCACTCCAGCCTGGGCAAAACAGTGAGACCCCTATCACTAAAAAAAGTGTGTATCTATCTACCTACCTGTCTATCTATCTGTCTATGATAGACCAGGAAATGTAGTCAGTCTATATTAGAGCTGCAAGGTTAAATGGAGCCATATTATGTTTGGAAGAAATGTCTGACACTGTCCTGCTTTATTTATGGAAGACAAGCTTAAGAGGCACTCTGAATGATGGACAGGTGTAAGTATAGAAAAGAAGATGAGGAAAATGTCTTCTGTTTTGAAGTGTGAGAGTTCTAGACTTCTGCCACACCTGCTGAATATACAGGGGTAGATCCAGGGGCAGGGGTGAAAAATGCATCTGTACAAAGAATGCTTCCAGAAATACAGAAAGCCTAGGCCCAAACTCACACTGCTGCTTTTCACGGCATTTCCCTGCAATTCTTTGTACCCTCCTCCCAAAGTGGCCCATCACGGGAGTGTGTTGCCGTGGCAACGTGCTCAGTGGGGAAGCCACTCAGCATTACCCAGTAATTCACATCTGTGCTTGTTTCCCTCTCTCCCTTCTCCCCTCTCTCCTCTCTCTCCTCTCTCCTGTCTCCTCTCTCTTTTTATCTGTAAATGGAAAGCAGCTTAGGAGTGATGCCGCCTTGAAGCTGACAGTTCCCGGAAAAAAGGAAGAAGTCTTTCTTTCTGGGGTCTATTTCCCCCCAGAGGTTTTTTGTTTTGTTTTTTTTTTTTGAGACGGAGTCTCCCTCTGTCGCCCAGGCTGGAGTGCAGTGGCACGATCTCAGCTCACTGCAACCTCTGCCTTCCGGGTTCAAGTGATTCTCCTGCTTCAGCCGCCTGAGTAGCTGGGACTACAGGCACATGCCACCACACCCGGCTAATTTTTGTATTTTTAGTAGTGACGGGGTTTCACCATGTTGGTCAGGCAGGTCTCGAACTCCTGACCTCGTGATCCACCCACCTCGGCCTCCCAAAGTGTTGGGATTACAGGTGTGAGCCACTGCGCCTGGCCCTTTTCTTATTTTTAAATTCCCTTCTGCCTTCCATACCAAAGCCCAAAGCAATGGATGACTGACCAGGCACACTCAAGGATGGGGCCTTTTCTGTGTGACTTTAGGGGAGGTCGGTTGGAGGAGGGGTTGCTCTGCCCCTTTGCTCCCACCCCTCTCTGCTGTCACTGAATTCTGTGGCCTTACAATCAACAGGTCCAGGTCAACCCACTCACCCCTTTTTCACCACTTTTCCTTCCTGTAAGATGAACTACCCTTACATTATAGACTGTGCCTAATGAAGCACAATCAAGGTGCCCAACCTCTCATAAAGGGTTGACCCTGTGGAAGAAGTTATTTGTAAATGCCATCAACATATGCCTAGGATGGGGCTATGATTGCAACTGCATGTTTTTCTTTCAGGAGAATCATTCGTTGGTCTGGTCTAGAGCTTGGATTATTTCATGTCTCTATACTTTTGCTCTCCTCTCTTTGCTTTAAAAAAATGTATATCAGGCCAGGTGTGGTCACTCACGCCTGTAATCCCAGCACTTTTGGAGGCCGAGGCGGGTGGATCACAAGGTCAGGGGTTCAAGGCCAGCCTGGCCAATATGGTGAAACCCCGTCTCTACTAAAAATACAAAAATTAGCCAGGGGTGGTGGTGGGCGCCTGTAGTCCCAGCTACTCAAGAGGCTGAGGCAGGAGAATCACTTGAACTTGGGAGGCGGAGCTTGCAGTGAGCTGAGATCGTGCCATTGTATTCCAGCCTGGGCGACAGAGCAAGACTCCATCTCAAAAAAAAAAAATGTATATCTTTCTTTTTTTTAAGTAAGCAATCTATTCATAGCATCAAATTTAAAATATCCAAGGAATTTATTCTGAAAAGTCTGTCTCCAATTCTCACCCCTTTCCAAGAGCCAACTGATATCATTAATTTGTACCAGAGATGCTTGACGTATTTACAAGCAAATTTGTGTATGTGCATTTCATTTTCTCTTTCCTTTGAAATATAGATTCCTAAAAAGTAGGGTTTCCGAATTTGGAAGATCCAACTAGTGAACATGCCCTGACCTGTTTTGTGTCCAATTAATTTTACCAATAAAGGCTATAATTTGTTTAGTGTGTAGACTAAGTAAGTAAATTCTTGAGTAACCACAGATTCCTTTTGTTTGTTTGTTTTAAGTTTCAAGAATCACCTTTCTCTCCTATTGTTTCTCAGGACAACAGAGGTTGCATTTATACTTTCTACCTGGCACAGAGCAGGTGTTCAGTACTATTTGTCGGGTGAAGATGGCAGGAATAGAAAAATGACAGTTCCAAATCTGAGACTGCCTTGGGTGAATCAGGATGCCTCTAACAAGTTCAAGGTGCGGCGCTGCTCTGAGGATGCAAACGGCACTGGAGAGGAGATGGGCGCTTTGCAGACTCTGGGCCCCTAGTGAAGGAGAGAACCGTGGGCGAGGAGGACCAGCAGTTTCCAGGAGGCATTCGGAATAGGGTGGGAGGGAAGAGAATCGACCAGACTGCTTATTTGGCTCTCACTGATTCTGTCCGCATTTTAGTTAAAGCTGCTCAAAATGGCTCATGTGGGCAGACGGGGCCTGAGTCAGCCAGTCAATACCATCCATCGAGTGCTCCCGGGGTACAGAGCTCAGAGCTCGGAGCTGTGGAGCCAGAAATAAGGCATGTACGATTCAGTTCTTCCCCTGAGGAGCTGAGAATCTGAGAGAAAGAGACAAGACAGATTTGCTCAAAAAAGACGCAAAGCCCATTAACACACAAACATGGAAACAAGGAGCTTGCCTGGTCAGTCATCCATTGCTTTGGGCCTTGGTATGGAAGGCAGAAGGGAATTTAAAAACAAGAAAAGATTGCAGCAACTTGGATGAACACACAGGCCAGGCCCGCGACAAGCTTCCTTCTCTTGCTTTGCTTTTGGAAAGGCGAGCAAAACGCCTCTGACGTATTCCCATACGCCCAAGCTGCACGGACGACCGTGATGGAGCTGCTCGAAGGGTGGGGGGAGGATTCAGGCTTTGCAGAAGCAAGGCTGGGAGGGACTCTCTCTGAGTGCCGCTAGCTGTGTGATCTTGACGTATTTCTAGAGCTGTCTGAGCTCGCTGTCCTCATTCGTAATATGAGCACAATCCCCACATCTTACAATAGTGAGATTAGAGGATGCAAAGTACCTGCCCAGTGCCTAGCATAGCTATGGTGGCTGCCCAGTGAGTGATAGTATTTCTTGTTGTTATTATTCTAACCTTCATTTTAGTCTCTCACCCCCGGCCAGAAGTCCGTGCAGAAAGAGCCTGGCTCCTCTACTGCCTCCCCTTCTTCCAAGTCTCAACTTTGGACCCAGCCTGCTGTCTCCGGTCATCAGGGCTGCCCACCAGTGAGGAGGCTTGGGCATATTATCTACTGCCACTCAACTCCCAGTGCCCAGCATCGGGGACACCAGGCCAGGCCACGTGGGAGGGTCCTTGCTCCAAGTTCTGTCCCTGGAGCCTCTATGCTGAGGGAGATGAAAGGAAGAGCCAGGAGATGGAGCCAAAGGTCACAAGCCAGGAAGCAGCCGCGTGGTCTGCACGTAGAGATGGGTGGGCGGGAGCAGGTGAGACCGGGAGTGGGAAGAACTGAGAGTCAGGAAGCCTAGAAGTCACCATGTGGCCCAGACTGGAGCGAGGCCAGGGAAGCTTCTGGTAAGATGTGTCTTTTCTGGGAGGTCCAGAAGGCCAGCAGGTGGCCATTTAAGGACAGATGCAACTGAGGGGTGTGCCAGGATTGACGGGGCCCATCCTTGAAGATAATGTGGGGTAAGCAGAATGAAGCTGTTTTGTTGATTTTCTGACCACTGCCCACGACTGGCCTCCTGTCCTGAGCTGCCCCTCACCCCTCCCCGAACCACTGGTCTTCCGCCAGCACCCGACAGCCTTGTCTCGATCCAGCAGCTGGAATGATCTCTTTGAAACCTGAAGCGGATGTTGTCCTGGTTCACAAACTTCCAAGGGCTCCTGTTGCTCAGCCTGAAAGCTGCAGTCCTCCCCATGGCCTCCGAGTCCTCCCCTGGGCAACCCGGACCTGGTCACCCCCCATTCCCATGTCATCCACTGCCACTCACCACCCACTCGCTCTCCCCTCCAGCCAAGTGCCCCGCCCCCGCAGGCTCAGACACCCCAGAGCTGTCCCACTCAGAGTTGGCCGATCCTTGTGCCTACGATTCTCATCCCTGGAGATCCATGTGGCTCGCTCCCTCGCCTCCAGAAGTCTCTGTTCAGCCGTCACCTTTGCCAAGAAGCCCACCCTTCACATGGCTTAGAGCTGTGCCCTTCCTCACCCCACCTCTCTCCATCCACTCTACTCCATTTCATTTAAAAAGCACTTGTCACCTTCTAACAAACTCATTTAATTTTTAAAAATCTAATACACGTTTGGCCTGGTGCAGTGGCTCACGCCTATAATCCTAGCACTTTGGGAGGCTGAGGCAGGCGGATCACCTGAGGTGAGGAGTTCGAGATCAGCCTGGTCAACATGGTGAAACCGTGTCTCTACTAAAAATACAAAAAATTAGCCGGGCATGGTGGTGTGCGCCTGTAATCCCAGCTACTTGGGAGGCTGAGGCAGGAGAATCACTTGAACCTGGGAGGCAGAGGTTGCAGTGAGCCAAGACCACGCCACTGCACTCCAGCCTGAGTGACAGAGCGAGACTCCGTCTCGAAAAAATATATAAAATAAAATAAAATTAAAAACAATAAAAAAAAACCTTTGTCTGTCTTCCTTCCCAGAATATAAGCTCCATAGGGCAGTGACTTCATTTTATTCACTGATATACTCCAAGTGCCTAGAACCGTAACTTGGCACATAAGAGGCAGTCAATAAACCTTTGATGAATGAGTGGGTATTATATTATTACAACTACTATGACTACAGCCACTGCCACCACTACTAACGGGCTTGGTCACCCAGGCTGGAGTATAGTGGTGCAATCATAGCTTACCATAACCTTGAACTCCTGGCGTCGTGCGAGCTTCCTGTCTTAGCCTCCCAAAGTGCTGGGATTACAGGCATGTAATCCTGTAGTCCAGTGTCCACTGCGCCCAACTCCTGAAGACCATTTTGATGACCTGCTATGTACCAGGCTCTGTGGTGGGGGATTTAACATGAGTTTCAAGCACAACTCTGTGATGCAATCCTTGCCACATTTGACACATGAGGAAACTGAGGCTCAGGGGCGTTCAGCCACTTAACCAGAATGTCTGAGTTAGAAAGTGGCTAAGACAGGACTTGAACCCAGGTCTGCCCAAATTCAGGGCCTGTGGTCTTTCCAGTCCAGCGTCTCTGCCTCCAGTTGGATGTGGGCAGGCTCTGTGGTAGAAGTGTCCTTCAGGGATGGCATGGGGGGAGGCACTGCCTGGGTCCACCGATGGGGCTCCCCGGTGAACTGCACACCAGGGGTGTTGCTGAGGCAGGTGACCAGCATCCCTTGCGGCAGTGATGGTCGGCGGAGCCCACTGTCGGAACCCTCGCCCTCCCCAGGACCAAGAATGCTCCTCCTCACCATCTCCCTGCCTGCCCTGGACTCCGCTGAGAACACCTTCTCCACATAACAATCAAAGGATCTCTAAAAATTGGTAACCAAACCCATCACAGCTCTTTGAGCCCTCTAGCCGTCACCCATCCTGCTCTGAAAAGCCACTGAAAGTCTTTCCCATACGCATGAGGTCCTCTAGGCTCTGGCCCTGCCTGCTCCCGTCTTTGTCTGCTTTGCTCCCGGCTCTCCGCCCTCGCCCACCCTTTTGGCTCCTCACACAAGCTAGGCTCATTCCTGCCCTGTGGCCTTGGACCAGCTGCTCCCTCCTCCTGGAATGCCACTCCCCAGGTCTCACAGAGATGGCTTCTCTTAAGCTTGAAGATCACCTCTGCAGAGAGACCTCGGCTGACTGCCCAGGTGCCCTCTCCTGTCCTGTCTTTTTCGTTAGAGACAGTCTCACTCTGTCGCCCAGGCCGGAGTGCAGTGGTGCGATCATAGCTTCTGCAGCCTCGAACTCCTAGATTCAAGCGATTGTCCTGCCTCGGCCTCCTGAGTAGCTGGGACTACAAGCGCATGCTGCCATGCTCTGCTCATTTTTTAAACTTTTTTGTAGACATGGGGTCTCACTATATTGCCCAGGCTGGTCTTGAACTCCTGGTCTCAAGTGATCCTCCCTCCTCGGCCCCCCAAAGCTCTGGCATTACAGGCGTAAGCCACCATGCCCAGCCTCTCCTATTCTCTTCTGATTCTCTACAGAGCAGTTCTCACCATGCACTATTTCCTAGTTGACTTAGGTGGTTATTCATTTGGTTCTTGGATTCTACCCACTAGACTGTGAGCTCCCTGGGAGCAGGTACTTTGTCCATGTTCATGGCTGTCTTCATGCCTGGAGAGGGCCAGGTAGAGGGTGGGTGCTGATTAACACCTCTCCAGAGAGCCGGTGACTCCTGGTTTGAGGCAGAGATGGACCATGTGGGCACAAGGGAGAGTTAGATTCTGCAGGGAGGTTATCCTTGGTGGCCTGGAGCAGAAACAGCACCACATTGGCCAGGTCCTGGGAAGGATCTGAGTGCACAACCAAAGAAGTCTGCTTTCTACCAGGAGACCCGGAGATGCCAGAGAAAGCCCGAGGGGGCCAGAACCAGAAAGATTTGGGAACATGGCAGTCGGGACTAGCCAGGGTGGGGATGCTGGCATGTGAGCGACTGGGCCGCAGCCATCAGCCTCCTGTGCGTGGCTGTGTGTGCTGGTGGCTCAGGTCCACATCCCAGCAACTTCCTGTTCCAATGCCCTCACACACATACACCCTCCGCCACCTCAGGAAGCACCAACAGAATGCTTCTCCATTTAAAATTCAAACTTACTGTCTACGTCGCTGTTTTTTTTCTAACTTTGTGAGTGTTTTTCCTAATTACCAGTTGGGTTTTAATGAATCTAATGAATCATGTAGATATAAACACAGCATATACAAATACACCAGTTCTTGCATTTATTCACAAGTGAATATGCGAGAAAGAATGATTGTTGGATTCTCATTATTTGTCATCAGTTGAGGCCGTGGGCCTGGGTCATTGTAAAAGTATGACTCAGTACCAGGGAAACACTGTACTAGCTTTGACTAGTCTCTCTTGTTCTTTTTAGGGTTTTTTTTTTTTTTTTCTGCTCCTGCTGGCACTACTGCATTCCCCTTTGATGGTGAAAGAATGAGATCAATGAAGGTACCAGAGAATTTATCTGGCAGGATCTTCTCATCTTCCTCTTTACCAGTTGTCAGAACTTGATCTGATTTGCAAACCTGGAGGATGGACAGGTGTCTTGTTTGTTTCTGGTGGTTCCTTTTGTTTTATCTTCATGTTTCTGGTGGTTGGGTTTTGAACGTCAGCCTGTGGAAAGAATGCATCCTTCCTTGACTGAGATGAGAGCGCTTTGAAAATTGTAAAGCGCGCACATTGTCAGTAGTTTTGTTGTTGTTGTTATTGGTTCCTTCCTCCAGACAGGGGCCTGGTTCCTGCTCTATTCCATCTTCTCTGCATTATAAGATCCTGAGCTTTAGACCATCCACCCCAGGGTCTGTGCATCTGTAGGAGAAGTGAATCTGTGGCTTCCCCTGCCCATGCTGGGAAGCCCCTGAGCTCCCTGAGGTTGCAGGTGCTCTGGGGCCTGCAATTTGGTGAGCCTGTGCCATAAGCCGCCCCTGGAGGGAGCAGAGGCAGAAACACTTCAGTTTATCTCCAATGCACAAAGTCCTTATCTCAGAAGCCACAACTCCCTGGCCAGGATGGGATCCAGGTTCCTGGACTGTCACTTAGCTAATCCACAATTGTCCAGAAGTAGCCTCCAAGATGTCCTGAAATGTAGCTTGAGCTGGCTCTGTAGGAGCTGGTGCAGCATGGAGGTCCCTCCTCCCCTCTTCCCAACCCCACTGCTGCCTTGGAGAGGCTGACTCTTAGGTGGAGCAGAGTCTGTCCTGGGCCAGGCAGAACACAGTTGCTGCAACCTGATGTGCAGGTGTTGCAATAAATGTCTCTGGGGTCACTGCAGACAAGGACCGACTGTATACCTGGTGGGTCTCAGCAGGAAATCCCTCCTGGAGACTAGGCACTCTTCCCCTTCATCAATTGTCATATTTACAAATCAGAATGATTCCAGAGTGTCAAGACCTGCTGTCTCCATCTCTTGTCTTGACCCCACTAACTAGATTGTGACCTCTCTAACATCACTTCCCCTTTGCTGTGGCTTCATATAGAGTTAACGGGCAATAAACATGCATGAAGTGGACACAAATCTCTGCAGCAGAAACCAGCCTGTGACTTTCTTTGGAGCCACGTCACCTGCCTAAACTAAATTCCAGCAGACACAACACAGACACTCAGGGGATCTGTGGCTTAAGGAACAGGGGCTGGGGCCTGGCATTAGCCAGATGCAGCGGCAGGGTGTGTATTTTCCAGCGTGCTCATCCTAATCCACCGAAGGGTGTTCCTGGGGCACGCAGGGGATGCCACGTAGACTTCAATAGACGGCTTTTATTCTTATGCTTGATACTTCCTGCAGTTTTATGTTATCTCGTGCAGTTATAAGGAGATGGAGATAATATGCATGTTTGCCTTCTTCTGATTATGTACAGTGTCATTTCGCCAAAAATCTACACCAGCCACAAGGATACATTTTGGCTGAATATTACAGACTTTTCTCATTATCTTAAAAAAACAAAAAACAGAAAAACCTAACTAACTTCTCTACTGTTATCGCACATAAAGTGATGTAAATGTGTGTGCCATTGCAATAAAGTCACAGTGAGCAGAATTAAACGCTGCAGGTTTGGGCCATGACTAAGCAGCATGACTGAATGGGGCATTTTCTGGTCTGCTTGCAGGCCCTTTCTTCGCTGGGATGGTGGATGGCTCGGTGAGACATCAGAGAGCAACTGCTCAGGTGGGTCTGCGTGGCCCTGAGACTGTTCACATTTTCAGCCATCTTTAAGGCTCAGCTTGCTTCTTGAGAGGCAGGAATTGGGAGCCCGCTGCGAGGACTTCCCTGAGTTCAGACTGCGCAGCTCAACTCATGCCTTTCAGGGGCTCATCCATTCTGCTGATGAAGAATAGATGTTTGGCACTTCCAACAAGGCCGTGTGTCTTGCCTGGTTCTACGAAGACACTGGGGGAGATGTCCTAAAATGCAGCCCCTGTTCTCAAAGAGCTCACTGGGTGAAAAGCTTGACATAGGGAGGCAACACATGAGCCTTAAGTCACTTAAGTCACGCTTGAGCATATCTCTGCAAATCTGTGGAAGAGATGGATCAACTAAGCCCTCAGTCCAGTAGTGCAGATGTGGAGAGGGCAGCCATGCTCTGGTAGAGTTCCTGAGTGCTTCCTGTTTTGGAATGCGGTGGCGTCTGGCCTCCTCACTGTTTGTTCAGCATGCATTACCATGCATTACCATGGGTGATTAGTAATTTAAAATTTTTATCTCCTGTAGCTCTCACACTTGACGGTGGAATCATCAAATGCTTTAGCGATGCCATCGGCCAAAATGGGGAAATCGAGGCAATCAGAGACGTACGTGACTTGTTCAACATCTCCAGGCTCCCCATTCATCCAGCGGCTTGAGAAGCCAGCCTTTGGCTAGCAGGAAGAATAGACAGGCCCTGGCACCACATCAGTGGCCCCGACACCTCAGGGAAGTCCATTCAGTGAGGCCTTCATTTGGGTCTCTAGACCTCACGCCCCCCCCGCCCCCGTGCAGGCAGGTGAGGGTCTTGTCCCAGGATTATCACGAACAGGCAGGTGAAAGCACTGGGTGACATGAGCACAGATTTATGCACCAGGACTCACTCTGTGGCAAGAAAGAACACTGCTGCTCTTAGCAATACATACAGAAGGACCAGGAAGCAACCTAAGAATCAGTGCCTGGCTTGCGGTCACAGGAGATACTTCTACTGCCATTCTGGCTTGGGCTTCTTTGGAGAAGGAGCCAAGGCCTGCAAGGGTTTTAAGTGGCCCCTGCAGGTTCACTCTGACCCACCTCAGAGACGCCCCCACAACACCCAGCGCCCTGCAGGAGGAATCTAGAGACTTAGGGTCTAGGCTCAACATTGCCACTCATTAGCTCTATGGTCTTGGCCATGTCAACCTAAGTTGAATGGCGGCCACAGCCCTGTGGCCTTCCAGGATGTCATGAGGTATCCACATGGCCTTACACACATGGGTGGCAGAGCTCTTCCTCTCTGTCTTGCAGTGGGAGGCCTTGTTGCAATGGGAAACAAGCTGTAGAGATAAAAACAATGAACCTGTTGACTAATCCTAGAAACGTCCAGATGGAATACATTTTTTTTTTTTTTGAGACAGAGTCTCACTCTGTCGCCAGGACAGTGGCGCGATCTCGGCTCACCGCAACCTCTGACTCCCTGGTTCAAGCGATTATCCTGCCTCAGCCTCCCGAGTAGCTGGGATTACAGGCACGCGCCACCACGCCCAGCTAATTTTTGTATTTTTAGTAGAGACGGGGTTTCACCGTGTTGGCCAGGCTGGTCTCAATCTCCTGACCTGGTGATCTGCCCTTCTCGGCCTCCCAAAGTGCTGGTATTACAGCTGTGAGCCACTGTGCCCGGCCAGAATACATTTAAATCAGACTATCCAAAGACCCACTGATGTGTGCAGCCGCTGATCTACCTTGTACCAGGAAGATGCAAGATACAGCATGTCATATCACAAACATTCAAACATTAGCCAGGCTCCCAAGTCTCTTAAAAATCCTCACAACCAGTTTCCTCGGTGACAGTTTTTCAGATCACCTCTCTTAGAAACAGCTGGAGAGTAGATTAGGGCCCAGCTGATTTTGCAGGCTCCTAAATACTTATTTGGGTCCTCATATGGCAAGAGCTTCCCATCTCCTGCAGCAATCGTCAAACTCTCCAAACCCCTCTGGGTGGAGCTATAAAGACCCTCTTCATGCAAACAGCCTGTCCTGAACCCCAGCAGCCCTGGGAGTCCAAGGACACTGAAGGAGACTGCGATGAGATGGCTGTGCAGATGGGAGGGCGGGGGCCTGGGAACAGCAGTGCCTTACGGCGTTCTCCTTATACCCCCTGTGGTTCAGGCTTGAGCTCCAGGAAATAAAGAAGAATGCTTATGTCCATTAAGGCAGCAGCAGTGGCGTGGAGGCCCTGCATCTGAAGTTAGTGTTCTCTGATGGTGATCAGCCCTTGTATCTTTCACCAATAAGAAAACAGGGCTCTGGACGCCATGAAATCCCTGTTAGAGCCTCATCTTCCTTCCTGACCCTTGACTTTCACTAACATACAAAGGCCACTCTTCAGCAACAGGGCTAGTGACTGGTTTCACTTGTCTTTCTACAAAGAGAAGTATTTTAAATGCTTTCTATTTGTGGCCAACAAGCCCTGTGATGACTAACAGCAAAGGTGGAATCTCTCTGTATATTGATTTTTAGTGCAGGCTTAATGTCTGTATGTAATTATTTTTACCATGCAGGTGAAGCAAGAAATTAAATTGAGTTTTTTAATGAGGGGGAAAAACCAGCATTAGAAATGAAAGATCACAGGAGAAATTGAGCAGGTCACCTGTTTGCAAATAGTTTCTGCTTTAGGTCTCTGTTACTGAAAATACACTTCCCCTGCCCCCTTCCCCCACACCCTACGGATCTGCTGTTGCTTTCTTTGGGTTTCTCAGGAAAGAAAAGTCTCCTAGGATCCTCCTCTTCAGTCTGCCTGACAAGCCTAAAAGGAAAGCAACATTCCTGTGTAAGGGAGGGTCATGGGTTTTCTGCAGTTTCATGCATACTCCATCCAATTCATGGATCTTGAGGCTGGGGGAGCTCCTGGAGCAACCAAATTCATATCCTCAGGGCCGGATGAAACCATCACGCAGCGATGCTGGGAGGCGTACACGAGCTGCCCCGCTTCCCCCTGAGAAAACAGCCTGTTCCTTCTTCAGCTTGCCCTTCTCCACTTACAGGCTATGAGAGAGAACACTGGAACTCTGAAAACAAGGCCCAGGGAGTCGGATTTCCACCCAGGTCGAGATAGGAAGGAAGGGCAGGCCCAGACATCCCCGCCAGAGGCTGCTTTTCCAGGCAGTACCTGGGAAGACAAGCTAAGCCAATGAGAGGCTGTTGGGTTAGGCTCAGACATGCTGTGCCCCAGTGGACACCAAGCCGCCGAACTCAGTGTTGCTTCTAGAAGGTCACCAGGGGCTGGGAATGAAGGACGGGGATGTGGCTCAACCAGGCCCTGACCTGAGCATCAGCTCCAAAGTCAGTAGCCCTCTCTCACTCTGGGTAGCTGCTCCAGCAGACTCTAGGAGGCTGCTCCTGTGTCTGATGTGAGAGATCCACTTGCCCTTGGTTTTGAGTCGCAGGTTAAGGAAAGGGGACAACCGCCATATCAAGTTCTACTTCCAAACCTGAGCCTCTTCTGAAGAAACTGAAGTTCGTTTTTGGATCAATTCTGCCCAGCAACAAGTTTTTATTTGTACTGCCTCAACAACCTGAGGCAAAAGTGTGCCCCTGTCTGGCCTCCAGCTCCCAGTATCCCCTGGCTCTGCCAACCTCTGGGGACCCCAAGCCTGTGGGTCCTGTTTGTATGGGAACTGGTACACGTTTCTCCCCTCCTCTGCTCCTTTCAGCTCTCCTCGGCCATGTCCTCAGCACAGGTGTCAGCCAGGGTGTGTGGGGCCCGGGGAGGCAGGGAAGGACTGGGCATTCCAGCCAGCAAGGGCGGGAATGGGTCTGCTTCGCAACATCCCCAAAGGAGGTCAACCAAGTCCCCTTGCCCTCACTCCAGTAGGGCCCTCTTTGCTTTAACTTAGTGCATACCCAACTCTGAGCTGGGAATGCCTCCTGAGAAAGGCAGCCAAGGCCTGTGATAACAGCAGGGAGGAGCATGAGGAGGGATTTCTGGGGTCCATCTCTTACTCACCCATGTTTCCCTCCACGACCTTGACCCTCCTGGTGGCTCTGTCCTCTCCCTGGACATGGGACACAATCATGTACACTCTGGAAAGGCCAAGGAGGGCTGTTCAGAGGGCCAGCTGTGGTCCATCTGAAGGTGACAATTTGCCAATTTGTTTTACAGGAAGGCTGCCATGGGCCTCACAATAGCAGTCCCTGCTTCCGCCTTTCTGTCATCTTCCAACTAAAGAGGCCAGGAAATGGCCGAGTCAGCTCCTGCTGCAGCACCTCCTAGAATCAGAAAAGGCCTTTCCGAGAATCTTGCTGAACCCTGAGGGTGAGGAGTGTCAGATTTTGCAGCGGGGGGAAGCTGGCAGTGGAGCCTCCACTTCTAAGTAACCTTTGCTTCGGAAACCTGCCAACTCTCTGCCTGGAGACTTGCCTTTGATCACGACTTGTCACCTTTCAGGAGATGTTCCACTTTCTAAGCAGGTGAAAAATGAACCTGATTAAAAATAGGGAACTGGACTCTTCACAGAGTCCCCCTGTAAAGCCAAACTACTGGCTACACCTCCAAGGGGGAAAAGGGAACATCCCTGTCCCTCAGGTCCCAGGGCTCCGTGGGACCCAGGACCCCCGAACAGCCTGCAACCCTACGACGACGGCCTGGCCATGCTCCAGCAGCAGGCAGAGGCTTGGGCCACAGCCACGTACTGGCTCCTGCTCGCTGGGTTCACCTTGGTGACCAGAGGGCACTGTGACCGCCCATTCTCCTCCCTCCCTTCCTCCTCCCCTCAGTGCTTTATGGACCTGAGTTTCTGGAGCTTTCTCAAAACCGTGGACACGTTCCCAGTGGAAATCATGACATTTTCCGTTTCACATTACGCACTCCACAATGCCCCAGGAAGGGAGAGAGAGAGGGAAGGAAAATAGGGCCTGGGAGCCAGCCCCTCTCTGTCTGCAGCCAGGGCTGCTCGCTGCTCTGTTTATCCTGGAGTCACCTCCCTCCCGAACTTGACAGCCAGTGCCCCAGTGTTTTCTTCTGCAGTCAAAGGCCCCGATGAATAGGTGAACTGCCTTTTCTATCTGCTCATGTGGCACATCTGGATAAAGGCGTGCCTCTCTACTTTGTTGTGTTTTTTTAAAACTTTACTTTCCACTGCCATGGTAACTGCTGCATGTTTGGCAGAGGGAAAGAGGAAAAAAAAAAAAAGCTCGGAGAGAAGAAAAGGAGCTCTCAGCGCGGGGCTGGCGGCCGTCCAGGGTAATCATGCCGCAGAGCTGAAATGAGGCCTCTGGCGGGCAGCCAAGTTACAAAGAACAAAGCTGTCAGTTCCTAATGTTGGCGGCAATGCTTGTTTGGCACCCTTATATGGTTTCCCAGAACTCCCTGCCTTGGCCGCCTTCCATTCCCTTCAGGGCAGCAAACAGGATTAGCACAGCTCCGAGTTGTTTTTCTCCTCTCTCCTCCAACTGTTCCAATGACATCATCCCTGCTGCATTCATTTGCCAGCAGGGTGGTTTTTTTCTCTCTCTCTCCACCTCCCTCCTCCCTTCCTCCCTCCCTCTCCCTCCATTTCTCTCTCTCTCTCTCTCTCACACACACATCTCTACTCCCACTCACTTCCTGTAGCCTCCCCCTCGCCTCTGACTTTCTTTAAATGCAATGTTTTAGGTCATTCTTCTTGTCCAGCTTCTCTGTTAAATTAAAAACACCCTAGTGCTTGTACATTTAGCTGAATCAAGCCAGACGCTGTATTTTATTTTTATAACTGAATTCCTGTGAGATAAAAATCTCATTTTCCTTAGTAGGCTGTAATCAGCACTCACAGGGATGTGGTTTCCAACTGCCCCAGCTCGTGCTTCCTTATGAAGCTCCGCTGAGAAATGAACTTGGCTCCTGTTCAGGTTTAAAGGGCCCGAGGCCGGTCACACATTGCTCACTCATACACACACACACACACACACACACACACACACACACACAGAGGATGTGCACACAAAGACCATTATACATGTATGCACACACACATGGACACACGTTCTTGTCCAGGGAAGCCCCTACGGTTCCACACACGAAGAGCAAAAAAGTATTCCCTGAGACAGACAGACACACAATCAGTACCCAGTGTCATTCTTCCCCTTTCCAGGAGGAAAATAGGTGAATAAGTCAAGCTGAAAGCTGCTTCCGAAAAGACTGTTTTAAACTAGCAGGCAGGCCAGCGTTATGCAACTCATGGCTAGGTTCATTAAAGGAATCGAGGTTTGCCGACTGCACAAATGTTCCCCTGCCTGCCTCCGCCCCAGCCCCTCCACCCCACCCTGCTCTGATTCATGAACTAGTTTTCAGATTCATGAATCACTCGGGAGCCAGCAAGAGAAAAATGAGTAGTATTGATCTCATTTCAATTGAAATGGGCTCATTAAGGCCATGCTGGCTGTGGACGGCCTTGCACGACAAGACGCTGGCCGGCGTCCGAGGTCTGCAGGCGGGCGCCCGAGCCTGCGGGTGGGACAGGACTCCTTGGGTGAAGCCTCCGCGGAGGGTGCCCCTTCTTATTATTATTAAATGGACACAATATGATCTACTGGTACAAGGGACTCTGGCTGCACTCCGCAGCCCTCGTTGGGCAGGCCGGTTTTCTTCTTTTTGTGTGGCCCGTTTATTTTGTTATTTTTTTTCACAGTTAATGGAATCTCAGTGCAGTTTCGCTCCTGGATTTCTGGTGACTCTTAAGGACTACCTGAAGTAGGAATTCACCTTCTGAAACAACTGGCATATCTTGGGGTTTGTTTGTTTTAACGCAAACAAGGAGCTTTTTACTCTTCTCCCTCCAGACCTCTGCCTTGCCACCCTCCTTGTACCGTCTTCAGCGAGAAGGACTAGGGGCTAGGAACCATCTAGACTTGGAGTAATCTAATTTATGTGGGGAAAATTTCTCCACCAACTGGATGGCTGCCTTCACGTGGACACCGGTTTTATAAAACCACTCTTTCCCTTCCCAAATGAGAATAATGGTTGAGGAAGCAGCAACAGAGCCTGGGTGCAGAGACATCACAGAGGGAGGCGTTAGGCCCCTGGGGCAGATGTCGCAGAGGCCGCCCACGAAGGAGCTCTCTTCTCTCCCACTGCCTTTCCTCTCCCCACTTGAGTTCCAGCTCCCTCTTGACACGAGCTCCCCTCCCCTTTCCAGCCCTTCGCCTTACACTTGTCCTCATGTCTGGGGAATCTTTTCCTCTTCCTCTCTACAACACCGGTTGGGCACCGTGTGTGAGCAGATCAGGAGAGGCTATTAGCTTTGATTTGCAGCTTCCAAATGGATTTTTGCATGGTTTCTTCCTCCAGCTCCTTCCACCCCCACGCCAGCCCTGGGAGATTAAAAACAATGGACTGGACACATGCTTTTCAGAAAACCCAAAAAGCTGTCAACCAACACCACAGAAGGATTCCATCCTAAGAGGCATACTTTTGGATCCAAGAGTTTAGAAATGAGATTCTTATCCATTGACTTCAGAGACACCGTCATGCATTAGACGCATTTCCCTTGGCAGGGATTCGACGAAGTGACCTTACTCCCCTTTGTTCCTGCAGTGCCCGGAGAAACTGGGAATGACCCAAAGAAGGAAAAGGAAGGTGTGTTTGTGTGAATTTCAATCAGCAATTGGTTCAGAGTCAAGAAGAGCTGTTTTGCCTTCCGTGAGGTCTGTCTGAAGGTGCCTTTCAGCTCTGAGCTGCCCGAGCATTCTTGGGCTGAATCTGCAGTCAACCGGAGCCCTAGGCCTGCCGCTCCCCCGTGGGTTAAAATCACTCCCACAGATTTGCTGGCTGGCCTTAGAGCAAATGGGGATAGTGGGTTGGCTCAGGTTTTGCATTAACTCGTCTGATATTTTCCACTGCAGCCTCCCATTCTGTGATAAAGCTAAGTTGCTAGGAAAGCTTTATGTAACACCCACCCAGCCTCAGCTTCTCAGAGAAGCAAGTGTTGTTTCCAGAGTTCCCCATAAACCTGGCAGCACATCAAAACCTCTGTTTCATAACAGACTAGAAATAGGATTTTCTAATAACATTCCAAGGACTGGACTTATCGTGCAGGGATCTGCACTTTTATGAATTGTTAATGGTTAACTAAACAAAGACCCCCAGCATACCCAACCTGCTATCTCTGGGGTCAGGATGGGAAGGGAAGTTGGAAGAATGTGGTTTCTACATCCACAATCTGTTGGTTAGTGACCCAGGGCCCTTTTCAAAGAATTTGCTCAATAATCTCAAACATATTGGAGGATCTTATTCATGTTTTTAAAAAAGAAAAAACTACCTCCTTCCTGCTTCTCCCTTCATTCATGGAGAATGTGGTTTCCTTTTATTTTGTTGCCAGACACACTGACAGTTATGGATTTAACCCCCAGCTTTCCTCTGGGAGAGGGCAGCTTTCTTCCAGACACACCTAGATTTGGGGGATCCAAATATCTTCATGCAATAGACAAACCACACATTTCATACTCCCCTCCCAGAATCGTGGGTTGACAGAGTGATTACAGAGAGAAGGGAGCATGAGGTTGCCACGTCCCTCCTCCCTCACACCCATGTGCTCCTCCCGAGATGCGGTCCACCCCATCTCATCCGATTCTGGTTTAGATTATCACAGGGATGGGAGTTCCCTCGAAAAGGCCATTTGCAGCCTATTTAGATGTCACTTAAGAAACTTCTTCCTAGGATTCCAACGGCATGTCCCTTTGTTCCGTGTCGTCACGTTGTCCCCGCTGGCGTGGCGGTTCCTCCCTTCCTGGCTCTTCCCTGCCCTCCTTGTGCAGTAAGCACGTGGGCATCACTTCAAAGCAAAAGGAGCCCTTGTCCATCACTGTTGAGGTGAGGAGGACCATCACCAAAGCCCCAGGACAGGGTAACTGTGGAAGGCAGGGGCTCAGCATTAGCAAGGCTGACCTTAGGGACAGCCTGATGGCAGGTAGCTGCCTCTGGGCGAGCATGAGCTGCCTTAAGAGGATACTGTTGTGTGGGCTCTCCCTCACTCCTTCCTATGACCCCCCATGCCCTCAACATTCTTCCCTGGGTGCGCTCTCTGGGCTCACCTGGACAATCCATGGGAGCACCTCATTTCCCTGACCAAGACCTAAGCTTTCGTCCAGCTAGAACTGCTCTGCCCCTTCCCTGCACGGCCCTCAGCTCTGCGCACCCTGTAATGTCCCTTTTTTTCAGCTTAATTATCATCTCTCCCTCGCCCCAATCTCCTCAAATAATTCTGCTTGGTAAATCTCTTCTAGCTTCTTGCTTTGGAATATTGGCTCCCAGAGGTTCCAACTGTGGCCTTTCCAGGGCAGGTCTTACGTGGTCATTTCTTCCGTGGCTGTCCACATAATTTCCTCCATCCAACTGGCGTTTGCAACATCTTCCCATTTAGTTTCATTTGAATTTGATTTACCAGTTTCTTACCCTTTCTTCTGGATTATTAGTAAACATGAAAAAGGAAAGGCTCCCCTCTCACCAGGGCTGTCCCTTGTGTCCAGCTGAGCCCTCAGGAAGAAGCCCCATTCCCCATGACCTGCACACCAGCCCTCGATGTGAAACGACTCCAAGGAAACTGCAGTCAGAGTGGGCTTCCCTCACCAGGCTGAGATTTCATATCCTTGAGATCAATTTAGTGCCTGGACACCTGGTTGCTATGGGGATGGTTGTCATGAAAAACACACCAATCTGTAGAGAGATATAAAATGGATCCCGGTGGTACACACTCGGGCATTAGCTTTGAGAAATGGCTTGCTGCTTATCACTTTCTTTTGTGGACACAGTGCCTCTGCTTTTCAAATTCAACCTGGGTGACCTTCTTAGAACCAGGCCAACACAAATCCATTTTCAGTTATTTCCTAAGGGACAATCAAGGGCTTCCCCAAATGCCAGATGCCCCCTGTCTTCCTGTCCCGAGCTGAGTCAGCTGAGAAGAAGAGGACATTCTTTTCTGGCACGGTTTGTTCTTTACTGACTGCCATTGATCCATTAGCAAAACAGCAGGCAGAACAAAAATACTGACCCTGACAACGCTTCAGATCAGGTGGCTCCGATGAGTGACAGATGTTAGCAGGAGACCTTGGATGCACTGCCCAGTTTGCAGGGGCAGAAGCTGAAAGGGACACCAGAGACCAATTCAGGACACAGCATAAACCTGCATCAGGACTGGGTGATTCAGCAAGGTGTTAGCTCAGGGCTGGGTAATTCAGCAAGAGACACTGAAAAGATGTATAGGGGTGTTCATTAACCTTACCTCCTCTCCCTCCACATTCTCAAAACTTGCATTTGGTTACTACTTGCTGAAGGTCTGTTTCTCCCTTGGTCTGGCTTATTTGCAGAAACCAGTAAAACATTTCATGCATCTCTCTTGGGCATAGACCTAGACTCCACGGCTCTGGAAGGGTAAAGGGGCAGACACTGGTTCATTTTGCAATTCACAAAGAATAGCTGGAGGCCTTCTGACATTTGCTCGGGGTAAGGGTTGAAAGAGTGGTTTGGTGTTCCGATTTTAAGCTGTGCCATTGGCTAAGTGTAACTTGGAGTAGGCAAATGGGGAAAATTAACTACAGCAATAGTCACGTTAGGAATGCAGGCAAGGTCTACCTCTGAAATGGTTCCTAGCGCTAGTGGGACTCCCTATCTGAAAACCTGCGTTAAATACATTCTTTCTTTTTGGGGGAATATGTCTGAATTCTTAAAAATGGGTCAGAACTTAGTCACTGACTTGGTGTTTCATCTTCAGCAATTCCTTTGACTACTCAATGCCTCAATGTCCTTCTTTATTACCGAGAGAAGTGATTTTGCTTCTGTTTCATACCAAAAAGAGTTTTAAACATCTTTCGCTTTGGTCAGTCCTATCACATTGCTGCTGATAGTGGAGGTAAAGACCAGACTCAGATGAATGTAAGAATGTGAGAACAATGAATGCATTTATCATGCACAATGTTAGTATAAGGTGCTGTACAATGTTAGAATGTGTTCTTAGTACTCCCTGTAGACTGAGTGGTTATGAAGTCCCGCCGTGGTGTTCCAAATTCTTCAGCTAGTTCCACTAACTACACTGGGCTACTGTTATTTTGACCTCTCATTTGCATATCTTCAATTTCTCTAAATACTCCTTTAACCCTTCCTTATCAATAGTTTATTGACTGCATCCTCCCAATCATTCTTACCTCTTATCTTTATTTTTCTCATTTAAGCTAATTTTTTAAAAGCAGTTTAAAAGCTCAGCTAATTTAGTCATTTCCCTTGCAACACCCTACTCCTTCATTAATGGACCTAGTTTCTCTTTTTCCACACTTTTCCCCCGGCACACACACACACACACACACACACACACACACACACAAAAGCAAACATGTTTATAAAAACACACCTTCTTCCCCTTAGTTACTTTGGCTGGCATTAAATCATTCCGCCTTTTTTTTTTTTCTCTCCTGCCCCCATATTTTTCCTAAACACGTTAACTTGGCCTTGGTGTTCTTTCTCATTCTCCTCCCCCTGTGTCTCCATTTCTTGAACAACTTCAGGAGAGTGTTGCTCTTTTGATTTTTTTCCCCACCCTAGCCCAGCTGAAAGCTCAGGGAACACTTCTTGCTTGCTATTTTTTATCCTGTTTTCATGGGACCTGGAGTCTCAGCCCTGCAATTATAGCCTCTTTCATGTTATCTTTCTCCCAAGGCAGCAGCTCACATCCTGGCAAGTGACACAATGGCAGTGTGGGTCTTGACTTAGCTTTCATACCTTTTGTTTCAGAATGCAGGATTTCCTTATGGTTTGTTTGGGCTTTTAAAAAAGCTTATTTACTGATCCTGAGAGGTGCCAGATTTACAACCCGGAAGAATAAAGGCCAAGTTTCTATGTGCCTGGAAATACTCCATCATGTCCAGGCCACTGTGATGTTTTGGGCCAACCTAGAGGCTGATTTGATGGCTGTGGGTTCTACCCTGTTGTCGCCAAAGAGGGGCTGCAAAAACAGTCCAGACCACAGCTCACTGTGCCTCGTGTTGCAAAGAGAGGACAGGGTGAGGAATTCAGACCAGGATAATGTCTGAAAATGGGGAGAACGCTGATTACATTTTAAAACTACAGTCTTGTTTATACTCTGGTAGTCAACACTAATCATTTATTTGTTTAAATTAAGCTCCCTCGCCTTAATTAAAATTTGCAATGTGATTTTTAAAAATTTATCCAACTGTGTTTAAACCTCACATTCCTAGATTTTGTACCAAGGCCCTATCTTTATACAATAATTTCAATACAATACAGCATTTTCCCAAACAAATACTTAAATGGAGACATGAGGTCTTTTTAGGAGAGAGGATATGTGACCTTCATGGTGGAATCACAGACGGGGCCTTAAGCATGAGGACGTTGTAGGTTTACTCAGTAATCTCCAACCAACGGTGTCTGTTTTTTTTCCTTGAGGCCAAGGGTAACGTCGTTGCCTGAGAAGCACTGGAGGAGAGGCAGGAACACAGATTTGTCGAGAGCACTTACATGTGTGCACACACCGTAACAAAGGGCAGGCTTGTTGTACGGCCACATCACGGAGCCAGGGGACGTGCCTCGGGAAGATGAAATGTCAGTACTGTCTCCATAGCACAGAGCCCAGCTCTATACCAGAGCAGTTACGGAGCTCGGGTCTGGGTGATTTCAGAGGCCCTGATCCGAGTAACTTTCCTAATAAGTCTGACGCTGTGTTCCAGATTTGTACTTTATGTTTACTCCTTGCATCAAGACAGTGTCTCTGGAAGTTTCTTTTTAAAACTTTTTCTTCCCCTCAGAACGCTACATCCTCTGCCTGAAGTGACGGTCTCAGCCAGCCCATGAGCCTTGACAGCGCATTGTTGGAGTTTGGAATCAACTGCCGCCTTTTCATGGATAACTTCCTGAATCTGCAGTTAAAATTTCATTTTTTTCTGGGTGCCCCGAGTAAAACACCCTCTGTTAAAGATTTATCACTTCCGCTGTATTTCAGCTGCCTGTGGGCATCCCTCAATGGTGAGCTCCGTGACAGCAAGGACTGTGTCTTTGTCCTCCAGATCACGATTCATGCTAAACACTGCTCTGTCCAGAATTTATTGTTTTGTATTTTGACGTCTCTGTCCAGATGTCTCTCTGGGATCACAGACGGAGAGCTCTTTGAGCACATGGACTTTGTCTTGTTTATCTTTATAGCCCCAGTGCTGAACAGACTGTCACACCGAAGGTGCTCACGGGCCTGCCGGACGATTGAAGTTGTACAACCTGCAGACAGAGGAGCTAAGTGTCCACACGGCCCTCCCTGCTCTTTCCATTCTATGTAGCTATCTTGCTGGCACCATTTACTCCTTTCTTTCTTTCTTTTTTTTTCTTTTCTTGAGACAGAGTCTCTAGCTGTCGCCAGGCTGGAGTGCAATAATGGCATGATCTCGGCTCACTGCAACCTCTGCCTCCCGGGTTCAAGTGATTCTCCTGCCTCAGCCTCCCGAGTAGCTGGGATTACAGGCATGCGCTACCACGCCCAGCTAGTTTTTCTATTTTTAGTAGAAACAGGGTTTCACTATGTTCACCCGGATGGTCTCGATCTGTTGACCTCGTGACCCGCCTGCCTCAGCCTTCCAAAGTGCTGGGATTACAGACGTGAGCCATGGTGCCCAGCCACTCCTTTCTTACTCCTTTTTAGTCCAGTGAAATCTAGCTAGCTTCTCCCTTACCCGTAATTGTTTCATTGTAACTTATTCTTGCTGAGATTACTAGAGCTATATTTAGACCTCCTAAATAGTATCATCCACTGCCTACAGTCCTTTGGACTGTATTCAGTTCGTGTGACCCCTCCCTCGCATGGAAACTCTCTCTTGCCTTAGTTTTTATGGCATGACAGCCTTATGCTTGCCTTCCTGTCGCAGAGCTCGTGTATCCAGCAATTATCGGTGCTCCCAAGGTTCCTTGTTCTTCCCCCTTCAGAGGTCTGTGCTCCTCAACAACTCTGACCCAGCCGTGGTTCCAACAACCATGCCAATGTGAAGGACCCTAGATTTCCATCTCCAGCAAGGACCTCTTTCCAGAGTGTTGGATGGGTATTCCCATTAACCTACTAGACAGCTGCATGTGGATCTCTCAGAGCCCCTTTAAACTCAGATCATCTTCCCACCAAAATCTGTCCTCCCCTCAACTCAGGACAAAGACCTCACTGTAGGAGAACAAAGGAAGTGGAAATCTAACAGGTGGCAGTTCACCTACAAAACCTTAGTGTCATGCAAGAGGGCTGTCCTGTGCGGTCATTCTCAGTATTGAGCCAATGTAATGAAGAAGCGTGTAGTGTGTGGTGGGCATTTTCCATTATGTTTTGGTGGCCCCACATGGCTGGACTTCCCAGGAGCTTCCCAGAGCTCCTGCTTTGGTTAATGGTGAGCATTTAGGCCAGACGGCCTTGCAAATATCTTTCCTACATGGGACACACTGTTGCAGCCTTGCTCTAAGGCATAGCCTGCCTTTTTTTTTTTTTTTGGTATGATAAAAGAAATATAGAATATTAATATATTCTCCCTGGCTTTCAAAGATTCCCAGTGCATTTTTCTAATACAGCAGCTATTTACATTATATTTTCTTCTTGATTCATCATTTTTGAATGAGGCCTTGTGGGTTTGAGGGCTGGTGAGAAATAGTGCCGGGGAGAGGGTGAGGAAGATTGCTTTAGATGAGAGGCACGACTGTAAATCTTGAAGTAAAATTATCTTTGTGAACTAAACGGTACCTGAATTTTATTCAAATGAAAAGCTGGGCAATTGAGTGTGATTTAAAATGATCACTGTTCTATACTTCAAATGCACTGAAACAGGTTTATTTTGCAATAACCTGGAGAACATATGCAAATTGAAGTTATATTGTTTAATCTGAAGAAGTGAAGGCTGACTGAATAATCGGACTGCAAGGATATGAAGTATTATGTTGAGGATATATACCACGATTTACCATTAAATAGTACACAAAATTAAAATGGACTTAAAATGCTCAGGAAATATGTATTGTTAGATAATAGAAAAGTTAAAATTTCTAAAAATAGCTAATGCTTCATGGATTTTTAAAGTTTTGTTTTGTTTTGTTTTTTTGTTTTTGAGATAGGGAGAAGATACTAGGGGAAAAAAGCAGATGGAAAACTTCCTTGTGGTTTTTCTGTAGTAGCTTAGAGTCTGTTCTAAGGAGCAGAGATTTCAGAGTATGGTCTTGGAAACCTTTGTGTTCTTTGTTTCTTGTAGACGCCACACGCCTCTGTCCCCTGGCCACAGAGGCTGATTTTGCTGTATCTGACATGGGTTTCTTGACCTGCTGGGAAGGCCCAATGTCTAATTTCCTGGTCTGCACCCTGCAGAAACCAGTGGAAATTAAGCAGCGATCGATTATCCTACCCCATCACACCTTTCCTAGATCAGATGATGCTGGCTGAGGCTTTGAAGTATTGACAACACACTCTTTTTTCTTTTTACACCTTTTCTTCAGAGGACCTGACTCATTCCCTGTAAAGGGAGGAATCACTGCAGAGACACCCCCTGTAGCCACACTGCACCCTTGCAGGGGCTGGGGGACGAGAAGCAGGATGTTGGTAGTGGTGTTGTTACCTCTCATGACACGAATCAGGCCCTTCCACCATACACTTCATTGAGGGGATTCTGAAATGGGGTCCTAAGGTTGCTCTGCTCTGAGATGGAGCGTGGAGCACCGCCTCGCACTGTTGCTCTGGGGTTTGTCTTTTGCCTGGGTCTAGCTTAGCAAGGGCAATGGCAAGAAGGGGTTTGGGAGTCAGGAGACTATTAATTCCAAGGGCCAAGGATTGGCACATCTTGGAATATTCCAGAAGTGTCCGCTCAGATGGCAAATATGGGGACAACGTTACCGGCCCTCCTTCCAGCAAGGAGGCTAATATAGACCCACTCACTGCTACCAACCACCAACTCTTGACCCTTGGAATGAAACAGTCTGTTAACTCCCAAACCCCTTCTTGCCATTGCCCTTGCTAAGCTAGACCCAGGCAAACGACAGGCCCCAGAGCGACGCTGCAAGGCAGTGCTTCGCGCCACTTTCATCAGGGAGGTGCCTGTGAGATTCTGCCTCGTCCCCATGACCTAGTTCATGCCCTCGATATGCCGGTGAGATGTGCAGGAGCTTCCTGAAGGGCCGCATCATCCAGCCTTTATTTTTGTACCTCTGTATGAGTTTTTCTCAACTCCTGCTGTCCAGTAGCCTCACTTAGGGAACCTGTAAATAATACCTATGCTTGGGCCCCACCCAAGACCCATTAAACTGGATTATCTGGGGAGGAAACCTGGCAGTGGTGCTTTTTAAAAAGCTCCCCAGATGACTTTAGTGTGCAGCCTGGATTGAGAATTGCTGGATCAATTGCTGGGGGAAGAGAGAGTTCTGTGCCAGCATATGAGTGGGTTTTCATAACACTAAGGAGCCTTACTGTGTGTAGGTGATACCTACACTTCAACCAGGAGTTCTGACAGATCAAGGACTATTGCCCTACCAGCTGGGGAGTGACACGAGAGAGGCATGGGCAAGGAACCAGTACAGGGAGCCCACTTACCTGGGAGAGCTGTACAAAGTTCACTGCAAAGGGTGAAACCTGAATTGTTTGCATTATGCGTGGGTCTTTGGCAGATAGAGATGGGGAGACAGGACATTTCCGCAGAAAGGACAATGTGCAGGCGTGATGCAGCATGATTTTTCAGGGGGACCAGAAGGTAAGTGTCAAAAAAGCAGACTCTGGGGCGTCCTTGTCCCTTTCCAGGAGCTGAGACCTGAGCTAGACACCACTGGGATGTGTCTGGAAGGAATGAACTGGTGGACACGGAAGCATTGTCTTCTCAAGGGTGCAGGGTGTGCCTGGAGATGAGGCTGGAGACAGCAGGAGCCCTGCCATGGATGGAATTCTGCACCACGTTAATTGGACTTTACCCAGTAAGCTAGAAGTTCTCACCTGGTTCAAGGATGAGGACCTATATTTAATAAGAAAAAACAAAATTATTTCAGACCGTCTTGTAGTAGTAGTAGTAGTTGTCATGGTACTTTAAGAACCATTGAATCAGAAAATGCATATAGACTAACAAATGACTCAAAATTTAATGATTTTTTAGTGGATTTTTTTTTTTGTTTTTTGAGACGGAGTCTCACTCAGCTGCCCAGGCTGGAGTGCACTGGTGTGATCTTGGCTCACTGTAACCTCCGTCCCTCCGGGTTCAAGCAATTCTCCTGCCTCAGCCTCCCAAGTAGCTGGGAGTACAGGCACGTGCCACCACACCCAGCTGATTTTTGTATTTTTAGTAGAGACGGGGTTTCACCATGTTGGCCTGGCTGGTCTCGATCTCTTGACCTCGTGATCCACCTGCCTCAGCCTCCCAAAGTGCTGGGATTACAGGCATGAGCCACCACGCCCAGTCTAGTGGATTTTAATTTTGATCACAACAGCAAGGTATAGGTACTGTATCTGTTTACAACATCAAAGGTTAAGAAATGTTTACCTTTTCTTATCTTTCTAACATAAATCATGACTGTTTTGAGCTCCTGATAGTAGATTAGAGTCTTTCTTAGGCCAGGTGTGGTGGCTCACATCTATAATCCCAGCACTTTGGGATCAGGCCTAGGCAGGAGGACCGCTTAAGGCCGAGAGTTTGTGACCAGCCTGGGCAACATAGTGCGATACCACCTCTAAAGAAATAAAAAATTAGCCAGGTGTGGTAGTTCATGTCTATAGTCCTAGCTACTTGGGAGGCTGAGATGGGAGAAGCCCTGTAGCCCAGGAGTTTGAGGCTGCAGTGAGCTATGATTGCACCACTGCACTCCAGCCTGGGAGACAGAGTGAGACTTCATCTCAAAAAAAAAAAAAAAGGAATATTCAGTAACATTTATTGGTGGTGCTGTTCACTGTGCTTGACACTTTATTGCCTTAGCATTTCACTCTCACCACCACCTTATGAAGTAGGTACTGCCATTTCCTCAGTATTACAGAGAGGAGGAGAGAGATTAGGTAAATACGTGGGAAAATCAGTAGAATTTGATGAACAACGAGATTGGGGGAAGAAGGAGGAGGAGGATGGTCCAGGATGACTCACAGATTCCAATTTAATAACTGAGTGGAGGGAGATGCCATTAACTGAACTGGAGTCCAAGGAAAGATTCTTCAGCCTTATCAGGAAGTTTATTGTCTTTAACCTTCCAGAGCCACTCTTTCCATTTCTATTTCTCTCATACATTTCTTACAAAAACATATAAATTACTCATTAGCAGTTAACCAAATTCTTAACTATTGATTAAACCAGACCCAGCCAAAGGGATAAAACTTTGACATTGACTGCTAAAAATGGATTATCTCGACTTCATTCTTTCCCTAGTCTTTCACCATGACCCTGATTCACTAGAGTCAGTCTTTAAATCAGCCTTGGAAATTGAAAGAGAAAAATCTATGAAGCTGGGCCTGTGCTTTGTGTGTGCCCAGTGTATTGGCTGTGCTATGGCCTGGCTTCGGGGACGCACTCCAAAGACTGGCTCTGTGTGGACTGGATTTCAAGCTATGCGACGGCATCTCACCCTTTGTCAAACACAGCTCTCTCACTCACTCTACAGCTGAGCTGAGGCTGCTAGGTGACTATGAACCAAATGCAATGTGCCAAGTTGCTTTTAAAAAACAAACCTTCCATCATTCATCTGAAAGGTATTTCTATGATTCCATTAGTCAATCACTTAGCAGATATGTATTCAATGTCTTTTCTGTGCAAGACATTGTGCTATATAAGTGAGCGAAATTAATAAATAAAATAGAAGGAGGTATAGTAAACAATTTTTAATCCAATGAATGAAAAATGGTGTCTAACAAATGAACATACATATAGGAACACTCATGCATGTGATATTGGAATTGGAGCTATTCTGGGACATCTTAGAGGTGACATTGCCGTCGGTACAAGGTGAGGGGTCCCTGAACTCTAGAGGAGCACATTTTACTTAGCTCGTCCAAGGTCTCACAGTGATGGTAATAGCTGTAGCACCCTTGCTCCTGTTGACTGACCCAGGACCTATGGCATCCCACTGAGTCCTCCCCTCCCCCACTGCCCCGCCCATATGATTCTGGGAGCTTCCAGCAGGTGGTTCATATGTGTTCACACACCTCTCTCCTGCAGCCCCTTGTTGACGCCGCTTGTTCATGAAATCTCCACCACTGTTCCTGTATCTGGTGCCCTCCAAATGAATGCTATTGTATGTGAAGAGTGGGGATCCCCACCCAGGGCTCCTCAAAACTGCCTCTTGGAGGGGCCCAATGGCCATCCTTCCTTGAGGCACTGGCCTGGAGCAGTGCTGTGTCTGGCTTAGATATGAGAGGCTGTTCCTCATCCCAGCTTTATGGGTCATACTGAGCTGAGCGCTTATGCCTTCTAGAAAGCAGTTGCTTCTACCTCTGCCCAGACCCTCAGCACAGGCCTGTCCTGGAGCAGAACCTGTGGTGCCCTGCATTTCCCCTGGCCCTGGACAAGACTCCCTGGGGCTGACTGTCACCATCACACAAATCATCTGAGGCCAACAGATGGCTGGGGTGGGGCTGGGCAGGGCAGGCTCCACGTCCCAGTGTAGGCCCAGCCTGAGCCCAGTATCTGAGGACAGTGGTGACTAGCAAGATCCGCATGCCGGGTGGCTGGTAATAAGAGCAAAACTGAATTCTCTCTGAGCAACAGTTGCTCAGAGAAGGCCCTGGAGGCCTGAGGCTGGCAAAGAGGCTTTGCAGAGAAGGAAGTACTGGAGCCTGAGGGAGGCCTGAGGCTGGCAAAGAGGCTTTGCAGAGAAGGAAGTACTGGAGCCTGAGGGAGGCCTGAGCCTGGTGCCTCCTGTACCCCCTCCTGAGCCCCTGCTTGCATGGGTGTCTCCTAGCAACTGTGCAGGGCACTGGGACACTTCAGGGCTCAAGTGGCGAAAGGCGCTCACTTCAGCCCCGTCTGTTTTGCCTGTTGCCTGAGGTGACCTTCACTCTAAAGTGCTTTTGCATCCTGACCAGCAGCCCCGGGCACAGCGGTCACCCCGGTGGAGTCAGCGGCACCATGAGAGGCGCTACCCAGGAACAGCTCTGTGCACCTTGACTGCTCACCGGCCAAGCCCAAGTCCCTGAGCCTGCTCCTGACACCCAGTCGGCTTGCTTCCCCGCCTCATCTTTGACTGCTCTTCCTTTCAGTCACCCCTCATCTTCCTTCTACTTCTATGCAGGTCCAAGCATACTTACTGTGGCTTATTTTGTTCCCTCTGCCTGAAAGAGGTCTCTTCACCTGTCAAACTCCCGGGTACCCTTCAGACTGAGATGATTGTCCCCTTGAATGTGAATTTCCCTGAGGCAAAACTCACCGGTTCTGCTGCTGCGTCTGTGTTCCTTCAACCCATTCTCCACACAGGGCCAGAGCCATCTTAGCTCCAGGCACGTCACCAGTTCACGTCCCAACGAGTTTAGAATGAGTTCACATTCTTTGGTGGCCACATGCCTGCCCTACTGGCTCATCTCTGACCTCACTCTCACCATGCTCCTCTTCCTTCTAGCACCATCGGCCTCCTGGCACTTCCTGGAACTGCCTCAGGTCTTTCCTCTTGCCTCAGGTCCTTTGCACAAATGATTCCCTCCTCTCTTTCCCTGGAATTCTCACTGTGTATCTTCCAGATCTCTGCTTAAATGTCGTCTCCTCAGACAGGCCTTCCACACCTTCCTCTCCAAAAGAGGTTCTCACCATTGTCTCATTATAACAAGGCTAGTCTAAGTCCATATATGCTGCTATAACAAAACACATAGAGGGGGCAGCTTGTAAACAACAGAGATGTATTTCTCACTGTTCTGCAGGCTGGGAAGTCCAAGGTAAATGTACTGGCTAATCTAACGTCTGGTGAAGACCCACTTCCTGGTTCATAGGTGGTGCCTTCTCACTTCATTGTCACATGATAGAAGGGGTGAGGGAGTTCTCTGGGTCCCTTTTATAAGGGTGCTAATCCCATTCAAGAAGGCTCCACATTCATGACCTAATCACCTCCTAAAGCCCCACCTTCTAATACCATGACCATATGGTTTTTGCTGTGTCCCCACCCAAATCTCTTCCTGAATTATAGCCCCCACAATTCCCATGTGTCATGGGAGGGACCAGGTAGGAGGTAATTGAATCATGGGGGTGGGTCTTTCTAGTGCTGTTCTCGTGATAGTGAATAAGTCTCACGAGATCTGATGGTTTTATAAAGGGGAGTTTCCCGCACAAGTTCTCTTCTCTTGTCCACTGCCATGTGAGAAGTGTCTTTCACCTTCCACCGTGATTATGAGGCCTCCCCAGCCATGTGGAACTGTGAGTCCATTAAACCTCTTTCTTTTGTAAGTTGCCCAGTCTCAAGTATGTCTTTATCAGCAGTGTGAAAACGGACTAATACACATCACCTTGCAGGTGAGAATTTCAACATATGAATTTTGGGGGGACACAAAAATTCAGACCACAGCATTTAGTCATTGTTCTCTGTCTTTCTTTGTTGACTTCAGTTATGACCACCTCCTAGCTAGAGTGTGAGCTTTGTGAGACAGAGACCACCTGTGTTGCAGCAGAATATTTGTTGAATAAATTAATGAAGTATTAATTATTAGGTATTGCCATTTTAATGAGCATGTTTCCTTCATTGCACTGCAAGTCCATTGAAACTATTAGCCTTTGTGATTTTGACATATATATTTTGGCCTGGCCCCAAATCTAAATATTTGCAGGATTGAAGAGAACTTGACTCATGATTGGAATGAACTGCAAAGAGGAAGCTTTCAATACTTGAGCACTTCAAACTGAACCTCTGAAGTGGGACCGAACCCAATGCAAGCCCTAGGCCAAGATTCAAGGGCAGTTCCTTAATGTTGCAAGTGACTTAAGGAAATGATCACTGGCCATAGGCAGAGCAGGAGAGAGCAGACTGAGCTGAAGGGAAAGTTACTGGTTTACCTCTGGGGTTTCCCTCTGTCCCTGAGTCTTTTCCTTTCCTAGGGCAAGAGCCACCCTGTGGGGTTGGAACAGGGTTTTGAGCCTCCTGCAAACCTGCATCCTGGGCCCCGGTAAGGAGCTCATGGCCTCACGGTTTTTGCCCTTCCTTCCTATGCTGTTACTGGGGAATGATTGCCAGCAAGGGGAGATTGCGAGGAATGAAAAGGGCACTTCAAATGGACTATTAAAACACACACACCCCAGGAAGAAATGCTCCCAAGAACCCAGATTGTAGAGCGGGGGGTCTGAGGTAGTGGGCTTAGCTCAGGGGCCTGAGGAGGTCTCATGATGCTAACAACTGAGTCCCTGGCACCACTGTTCACACTACCAGTGTTGACAAGTATTGAGGTTTGAGCTCTGCAAAACCTAGAAAGTGGCCTCATGCATTCCTATTTTAAATCTCTCAGGTTTGGGAAAAATGAAACTAGTGCTTCCTGATAATGAAGAGAAAAAGGCCCCAAGAGAAGATCCTCCTGCTAATAAAGAAGTCTCTTGCCCTCTCATAGGCTCTCTTGGGGCTTCCTCTTGGGGTTACCCCAGTTGAATCTCCCTTTTAAAGCTCCACAAGGGGTTTGGATGTGATTAAACTGACATGGAAGTGAACACTCACTCAGATTCCCAGGGCCGGGAAGCCATGGGGCACATAATCACCCTACCCTAAAATGCTTTCCTTGGGGCTTACTCAAGTCCACTCTTGGGAAGCATATGTAGGAAGGAGGGGATAGAAGCCTTTGACTCTGCTGGTGGAGGGAAATGGACTCCCTTACCCCTTCTATATCCATATGCTCATTTCATTGACCTGTGGCACAGAAAGTGCTTACACATCTTGGTCTGGCACGGTAGCTGACGCCTGTAACTGCAGCACTTTGGGAGGCTGAGGTGGGCAGATCATGAGGTCAGAAGATTGAGACCATCCTGGCTAACACGGTGAAACCCCGTCTCTACTAAAAATACAAAAAAAAAAAAATTAGCTGGGCATGGTGGCAAGTGCCTGTAGTCCCAGCTACTTGGGAGGCTGAGGCAGGAGAATGGTGTGAACCTGGGAGGCGGAGCTTGCAGTGAGCTGAGATCGCGCCACTGCACTCCAGTCTGGGCAACAGAGCGAGATTCTGTCTCAAAAAAAAAAGTGCTTACACATCTTACATGGACAAGACACTAGCCCGCTTCATTGCTCCACATTGCAAATCAGTACTCCTCATTCTCTTTCCAGCCTTGTCCATGAGGCTTCTCCTTAGCAGAGCCAGGCAGAAGTTTGCCCTCAGTAGTACCCTCTCACTCTCCTTTTCTCCCCCATGCCTGGCCCTTTTTGTGTCCCCACAAGGGCCCAGTATTTTCTTGCAATTCAGGCTATTCACGACCTCCAAGACACCCAACTGCATTCCCTGACTCTCTCCAGGTCAACCCTTTTCCATTCCCCCAACAAAACACAACAGTCCTATTTCTACTCACTGTTGAGGAAGAAATTAGATCTCTGATTCCTCCCTCTTCTTTTCCCTCAATACCAATTAGCTAAATTGTATTAGATACCATTTAAAATGATGTTCTTTCCAGGGTGTTTTGAGTGATAACAGAGGCTTCCTGAAGGTTTACCACCCAAACTTACACATCTGGCATCAGTTTTCTTCTTGTGCTGTCATCTCTAGGGTCTATCACACAATTCAGACTTCAGTGTACATAACTTGTCATATTTTGGGCTATTTTCATGTGAGTTATTCCTGTCTCCCCATCTAGATTTTAAATTTTAAATGCCTATATCCTAACAGAGGGCTAAAGACATTGCTTCACACTTACGAATGAGCCTCTAGTGTACGTGAAGTCAGCACAGGAAGGAGAATCATAAAATACTCGCAAGTTTCAGTGAGGAGGACTTTGTAGAATCTAGTTCAGCTTCCTCATCTGATAGATAAGAAAGCTGTGGTTCAAGGAAGTCTAATAACACATGAAACAGTGAATCATTAATAATTCAAGAACAAATATTTATTCAATGTCTAATCTGTTCAGTATAATGGGAATATAAAGATGAACCAGTCATGGACCTCACTCTCCATGAACTTAGGGTTTGATTTGAGAAGGAGATAAGATATGTGTGAGCATCAATAACTGTACTATGCCATAGGAAGCACCATGAAAGTGCTAAATGAACTATAATCAAGTGCTTAACATGGTGAGGGTGAACTTAAAATGCTGTGAGTGTCCAGGAAGAGCAGAGCTGAGGACAAGGGGTGACACAGAGGAAATGTCCTACCAGGTCCATGTCAAACATCTAACTGGGATTATAGGCAAAAGCCTACTGAACCTGGTAATGAAGCCCACACCATGCTGCCCTTTGCTTGGTTAGTGATGACTCTCAAGCTTGCTTTATCCCATGTTTATGGGGAGTGTATTGGGTGCCCTGTTGTGTCTGATAAAGAGACCTAGAAGGAAGCTAAAACAGCAAATGTATCAAATTACTATCTTGGGACCTTCCAGCTCAATCTGACTCTAACGAAGATAGCAACTTAGAGGAAAGAAAACTGTCTTTGCTTTTTTTAAATATCCTCTCTTTCCACCAAGTGACTATTGTTAGGTTTCAACTCTATGTTGGGTTTCTCTCCCCAACTTCTTCCTATTAAATTAATGCTTGCAAGATGTGCCAGGATGATACAAATAACTTTCAAAGGCAGAGCCCAGCTCTCAAAAGATGATGAGTCCTGATACTCCATGCTTCTTAAAGACTTACCTAGGTCATCTGAGAGACAGAAGGCAATCAATGATGATCAGGGTCAGGTGCATCCACGACTCACTCAATTCTTGCACTTTGTGCTATTGGGACGACAAAAGAAGCTGAAGCCACAGTTCGTGCCTTCAATGAGATTGCTGTCTAAGGGAGAGGAAATGGCCATGGTCGAAACACGTAGAGAGACTGACCCCTAAGTGCAAGATAGCATGGTTTGCATTACATACACGCATATGTGCGCGTACACACACACACACACACACACACACACACACACTCCCAAGAGCAGGGTTGTGTTTTGTTGCCTGGTAGCTCCACCACTTCACCCAGCTTCTATCCATCTTTCACCTTAGAGACAGAAGGGTGGAAGCTCTTTAGAGGCTACCTTGCCACCTGACTCCTCCCTGCCCCTCCTTTGAGACCTCCAGCCCTCTGTGAGCGCAGCTCTATCTTCAGCCCTCAATCCTGTCTCCTCATCTGGCGCCCCTTTTCCATGTCCTGCAAACATGACTAGACCCTGATGATTCTCAAAAATGTGTCAGCAACTCTGCCTTCCTCTCAAACTACTGCTCCACTTCACCCCTTCCCTTTGGCACCAATCTTCATTTTATAAAAAGGCTGCATTCACTGTCCCTACTTTCCCATCCTCCACATTGCTACGGTTCAGTGTTCCGCCATTGTTCCGGCTCAGCTTCTGCCAGCACCGGGATGGCTCCTGTGCTCATGCCTGCTCTTGGGATGTGATGATCTCTGAGTTTCAGTCTTGGGACCAGCTCTTCACTTTCTCTGAGCAAACATCGTTTGCTTCCCCTGGCTGACAACTCCCAGAGGCAGATTTCCAGTCTTGACTTAAACCTTAGGGGTGCAGAAACTGTATTTCCAACTACCTATCAAGCAGTGAGTCTACCTGGATGTCCCTTGAAAACCTTTAATAAACATGACCCAAATGGACTCATCCCCTTCCCCCTCAAGCTTGCTTCTGTAACAGTTTATGTGATCATCATGATCTCCCGGGCAGCCTTCAGCTAGAACCTCAGGATTATCTTGAGTGCCTCCTTCTCTTTCATGCCTGCTATCCAATTGCTTCGTAAGCATCCCTTAAATCTCTTTCCTCTTGTCACTCTATCCCTGATCCCTCAAGTCCAGCTGACCCACATACTTTTTCCTGGTGGCCCCCAAAAGCTGTGAACACCAGCTCTTTTAGGCAGGAGCTCCAGCCCCCTCTTCACTGTTCCCAGCTCCAGGTCTCCTATCCTTTGTTCCCCACCCCTTTATTTCCAATTTCTGGCCACTTTAGCTTCATTGGTTTTAGATTTCTATATGATTTTCCACAATAATGCCTCATCTGTCCTATACTTCCGGCTTTTGGTATAAAATCACACCCATGGTCTCTGGTGAAAAACATCCTAGTCCAGTTCCTACGCCTGTGAACCCCACTGGCCAATCTAGCCCCCAAGGCTCCGTCTCTGCTCTTCCTTAGTGATGCTATTATTTATGCACCCATTTCTTTCACTGGACTATAAACTCCTTTATGACAAGAACTATTATTTACTTCTCTTCAAATTCCATTACAGGCACATAGCAAGAGAGATAATAGGATTATTAAAATAAAAAGAGGCCAGGCACGGTGAGCTTATGCCTGTAATCCCAACACTTTGGGAGGCTAAGGCGCATGAATTTCTAGAAGCCAAGAGTCCGAGACCAGCCTGGGCAACATAGGGAGACCCCACCTCTACTAAAAATAAGAAAAAAAATTAGCCAGGTGTAGTGATGTGCACCTGTAGTTCTAGCTACTCAAGAGGCTGAGATGGGAGGATCATGAGAGTCCAGGAGTTTGAGGCTGCCCTGAGCTATGATCATGCCACTGCACTAAATCCTGGGTGGCAGAGCAAGACTCTGTCAATAAAATGAAATACAATAAAATGAAAAGAGTGTGGTATGTACAGGAAATATTCAGGAACGATTCAAGGCAATGCATGTACTATAGAAATGCAGCCAGAGGGAAGGGCTATTGTGGATTGAGTCAGTACAGGAAGCTGGATCTTTAACTGAATACAGACATTGTAATTACATATCCTAAAAGCAGGAAAGCGCTGGTGACTCTGATGAAGCCTATCTTTTAATTCCTCCCAGTGCCCTAAATTCTTCCCTGACTCTGTTACCCTCTCATAACCCAGCTGCGATGACTACTGCCTGTAACACCGAGACGAGCTCTCCAGACTGTCATGAGAAGCTTGGTGCAGCCAACTTGAAGTCATGAGCTGACAACAACCTCCCTGCACATGAGGGCCAGGAGGTTGGGAGGACCCCTGTTCTGCTTACTTAGACCAAAGGGATCTTGGATCTCTGCTTGGCCCCAGAGTAGCTCCAGAATCAGAAATGTTCATCATTCCTATGAGCACATATCCAGGGAGTGTTTGATCATAAGTTCTCCCCAGAGTCAAGTCTTCAGCCAAGTGCGAACGGGCCTTGTATAATCCTGGCTGAGGCTCAAGGGCCTTGTTAGGTTTTTCCAAAGAAGTATCCTAGGCCTTCTCATTGGCTTCTCCATTTACTGTTTCCTGTAATGCTATCATGTGATTGGAATACTGCTGTCCTTAAGGCTGTGTCCCTTTGGTACGATGAGCTCAAGTTTTGTTCCCTCTTCTCCTGGCCTTGCCTCTATCCAACCCCCTTGGCTGAGAAACCACTGGACTGCATCAGCCCAGATTATGTTTTCTTCCGAGATCTTCCAGATCTAACCTGTTTATCACAAGCACAGCTGTGCATGCAGTTCATGCCCCAAATAGATAGGTAGGTTCTGCAAAGGGTACGATTTGGGTTTGGCTCATAATGAAGGAAAACTCAGTTCATAAGAAGAAGCTGGGCCATGCTTATGATCGTCTCAGATTGGTTTTGGCAGCCTGGACACCCTCTGGCCCCTTCTCCCTTCTAGCCACTCACCCTTACCTCATCACTTTTCCAGCTGCTACAGGCCCCAGATGGTGCAGAGTAGCTGCTAGCAGTGACTATTTATCATGAGGCTGTGCGGGTGTAAAGAAACATGGCCAACCACACTACAAGTGGTCTAACAACATGGTGCCCAAGGGAAAGCACGTCCTGAGCCCCACCCCACTTCAGCATGGGTTTGTTCCTCTCAAGATACTTATGCCCATCTCAGAATATCACTGACTTCTGGAGCTTGCCACAGAGATACTTACAGCTCAAGCAACACCCCAGTGGCTCAGTGACCTTCTCCAGGGTCAGCTTGTAAGCGATAACAAAACCCATCTTCTGGTTCCCTTGGTTCCTGGAGAAGCTTGATGAACTTTGCACAAAAATAATTTGGGCATATGATAGCATATTAGTAGGCAAGTTCAGACTCAGGGAACTAAAAATCCAAGTCATAATGTGATCACTCACCCCTTTGGGTTTCTAAATCCAAAAGAAGGACCTGTGCCTCAAAAGTAAGCAGAAAGAGGCCAGACGTGGTAGGTCACGCCTATAACCCCAGCACGTTGGGAGGCCGAGGTAGGTGGATCACCTGAGGTCAGGAGTTCGAGACCAGCCTGACCAACATGGCAAACCCCCGTCTCTACTAAAAAATATTAAAATTAGCTGGGCATGGTGGCAGGCGCCTGTAATTTCAGCTATTCAGGAGGCTGAGGCAGGAGAATCGCTTGAACCTGGAAGGCGGAGGTTGCAGTCAGCCAAGATCACACCAATGCACTCCAGCCTGGGCGACAGAGGGAGATTCTGTCACACACACACACACACAAACACACACACACACACACACACACACAGCAGAAAGAAAGAAACAACAGAACATGCAAATACATGAATAAAGGGAAAGATTCTGAGGTTCTAGAAAGCTTCTGTTATTATCTATTGATGCACATCCAGGCAAATGCCTTTTCTTCTTGCCCAATCCAACCCTGTCTCCAACAATAGATAGATGATAAATAAATAGATATGTAGGTAAATAGATAGATCCAAAGAAAAAACTGCTGCAGTATCACTCTCGTTAGAGCGTTCCTTTTAGTAAGAGAAAGATCCTAGTTCTACCACACATGTTAAACTTTCTGTGCAATGGCCTGGAATTTCTACCATCTTTGCTGATATAGATCACCCTGAATAAATCATGGGATTGATCAGTCCTTTGGCAAATGTTTCCAAGTGTAATTTATATGTACTGCCATTACTAGGGCACCTGACTTGCTGATATTTTTAAACAAATCCAGGTTTGGTCACCTTGAAGAATGCTTGCTCCTTTGCGGCAGATGGGTACAGGACCCATCCTGACCCATCCTCTCCAGTCCCTTGGGCTTTAGGCTGCCTGCTTGCTGTGGTAGGGGCCAGAGTATCATTTGCCATTTTGATTTGGTGCTGCTCAGTCAACGCTTTGTGCTTCCCTGCTGCCTGCTAGCTCACAGCCCTGAGTCAGAGAGGGGCTCCCCTGAGAATCTGCCTTATGTCATTTGTACATGGCTGGGTCTGGAAATCTTGACAAAGCACTTTCTATAAACCACTGTGAGGGAGGGCAAAAATAACAGTAATAAATAATGCCTCTGAGTCATCCATTAACCTCTGTTGATGCCACCTCCGTGTCAGCTGTCACATGTTGATAGTGTCACCTAGAATCCCTGACGGGGACATGCAAGCCTGTGCATGTTCCCTCCCCCATAGCAGTGCTGATGAACATCCCTCCTGTACAGCCCATCTGTTCTGGTTCCATGTGGCTGGGCCTGTTTCTCTCCGAACTGCTCTGAGCAGAGCAGATTTTATTTTCATTACTCTTGCCATGAAGGTCTCCAAATCCTAAGCTTCCCTTTGGTCTTTGCTGTAAACCACAAGGTCTGCTGTTTGGCGATGCACTGCTTTGCCAGTTTGCCTTCAGGTCAGGCCTCTGGATTTCCAAAGTCCCTTCGTGGAATTTGTCTTGGGAAACCTCCACCCACTAGGGCCACAGGGCTCAGCCCACCAGGGGAGTGTCTGCAAAGCTGAATGGGCTATTTCTCTGTCCTGTGCCTCCCTCTTCCAACCTGTCCTAGTTCTTGCTTAGCTAGACTCTCAAGGCTTATTTTGACATGCTTATCTCCGTATGGCCCTGCCCTAAACAGACATGGCAATAAGTGCACACTTGTGGCTCACCTCTATGTGGGGCAAAGTCTTCCTCTCCATGAAGCCTGTCAATTCAGTGAGCTGAGAAGCACTAGCTGAACCAAACTTAGACCTTCTTTGCAGCCTCTGGACTTTCTCTAGCCCTCATGTCTATAGTGAAGTATCACTGTGGGGACAGGCATGGGGCCTCCTCTGGGTTCAGCGGTTCTCAAAGCATTTCTTCCCTCTTTTTTTTTTTGAGATGGAGTCTCGCTCTGTCACTCAGGCTGGAGTGCAGTGCACTGGCGCAATCTTGGCTCACTGCAACCTCCGCTTCTCTGGTTCAAGCAGTTCTCCTGCCTCAGCCTCCCAAATAGCTGGGAATACAGGTGCATGCCACCATGCCTGGCTAATCTTTTTTTTTTTTTTTTTTGCATTTTAGTAGAGACGGGGTTTCACTGTGTTGACCAGGCTGGTCTCAAACTCCTGAGCCCAGGCAATTTGCCTGCCTTGTCCTCCCAAAGTGCTAGGATTACAGGAGTGAGCCACCATGCCTGGCCCATTTCTTTCTTTCTTTCTTTCTTTCTTTCTTTCTTTTTTTTTTTTTTTTTTGAGACAGAGTCTCACTCACTCTGTCACTTAGGCTGGAGTGTAGAGGAGCGATCCCGGCTCACTGCAACCTCTGCCTCCTGGGTTCAAGCGATTTTTCTGTCTCAGCCTCCTGAGTAGCTGGGATCACAAGCATGCACCACCACACCTGGATAATTTTTTAAATATTTTTAGTAAAGACAGGGTTTCACCATTTTGGACAGGCTGGTCTTGAACTCCTGGCCTCAAGTGATTCACCCACCTCAGCCTCCAAAAGTGCTAGGATTACAGGCTTGAGCCACTGCGTCCGGCATCTTCCTTCATTTTATTAATTGCACAGCATGTGGTATTTGGTCACCTGTTATGAGCCTGACTCCATGCCAAGTGCTGAGGCCGTCACCCTGGTTAAGATCCCCACCATCTGCAGCCTACTGCAGTGGAGGAGGCTACATTCCCGAAGGTAAGTTACAGTGTCAGCAAAGTGCTGTGGGCCCCTGAGCAGGCGGTTGGGAAAGCCTTTACCAAGGCAACGATACTTGATTTGGGTCTTATGGGAGGACAGGGAGTGTAATCCAAAGTGAAAGGGCAAGGGAGGTCTAGCTAGAGGGAGGGTGGCAGGGGATCGGGGCCTGGTGTGGAAGTCATGCGTTGCACTCATGTGTGCATGGACCCCAGCAGGGTAAGTGTGAGGCCACAGGCGGGACCCCATGTGCCATGCTTAGGGGTTCAGACATTGTCCTGGAGATGATGAAGGACCCCTGAGAGTTTTAAGCAGAGTTGGGTGTGAAGATGGATCTGAGAGGCCAAGACCGAGCAGGGAGACAAGTCATGATGGTCCTGATCCGAGACGGTGTGGGAGGTGGGAACTGACTTTAAGATGGTGGAAATGCAAAGCCAGGTGATGTTTCTGGGACAGGATTGACCAAATCTAGTGACCTACTAGATATAGGGAGAAAAAATAAGGAAAGCATAGGGGATCACACTGAGGGTTTGCATTTGAGAGACTAGAGTCAGGAGGCAAGGCAGGATGGGGGTGGAGAAGGGGAATGATGGGGCTGAAATTAGACCACAGTGGTGGTGGGAATGTGGACACTGAGGGAAGAGGAGGCAGTGAGCACACGAGTCTTTCATGATGTTTGGTGATGAAGAGAAGGAGGGATGTTCTGTAGCTTTAAAGGATTTTTCAAAAGTAGGAGAAAGAACCTGTTTGTAAGTAGAGGGAAGATACGGTAGAGAGGGAGAGATCATAGGGTGTAGAGAACTGCCATTTGCTGAGTGGGTGCCGCTTGCAGGCCCGGAGCCATGCCCTTAACATGCATATCTCATTTCAGCAGCATGCCAACCCATGGGGTAGCTCTACTTATACCCATTTTCTGAATGAAGAAACTGAGGCAGACCGATGGATTCACCCAGGGATGGGACTTGCTGAGCAGTTGAAGCAAAAGAATAGAGTGACTGGGAAGGGAAGAAAATGAAGTCAAACGAAAGCTAATAGAATGGGGTGGCGGAGTGCGGGGCTTAACGGGCTGAGGGGTGTCTATATTCCAGACGTGGGATTTGGAGTTGTTCTGGCTAATGTCAAAGACCACACACAAGGACATGGACGTCAACGGTTCATTCACATGAGATGACAGTTACCCAGGATGAACCAACTGCAAAAAGCTGTCTGTGGATGGTAACTGCAGGTGACCTGAATGCATGTGCCTCCTCCTTCTTTTTCCGCTTTTTGTCTTTTCCTTAAGCCTCTCTGAACAGTATCTTCAGAAGTGTCTGTTTCCCACAGAGCATGGTGTGTCCAAGAAATACCCCACATTCCCATTGCCTTTGCTATTTAATGCTGTAGTTGGGAGAGGCAGTCTTGCTTTCTGCTTGCCTGTCTTTTTGGAGCACATATGAACTACAAATAGATACAGCCCACATTTTGCCTCAAAGATATATTCTTTGTTTTCTCCAAGTTGCCAAGTTGAACTCTAAGCTGATGTTTAATTTATCTGTGGTAATGAGGAACGGGGATAGCCTTGCATAATTGGAATCTGAAGATAAGCCAAAAGCTTCTTTTAGCCAAAATTCCTACATCCTTTCCCACCAACTCTTTATGCCTGTGTTGCTAACAAATGGCAAATTGACTAATCTGAGTTTCACCAGTTCTTTGTGTGGTGTATCTGACCTTTCACAATGGGTTCATACCAGAGTCCACTTCCATGGTCCTTCAAGATGTGGGTGTCTGGTTCTCAGGTAACCAACCAAAACCTTTGTACCTACCACTCATGTATATTTCAGTTGAAGTTAGAAAAGCACCCCCTCAGTCTATAGCTAACCTCTGGTGAAATTGAGGAATGAATGAATTGCTAAGCCATCTATAAATAGAATTCCGGGACAATTCATCTGATGTGAGAGACAACCCTTTGATAGGTTTCTGAGAAGATGTGTGAAGCCACTACTCTCAATTGTTCTTTCATTTACTTTTTGCTAATCAAAGCCCCAGACATATTCCAAAATGTGAGATGTTTTGGAAGATTAACCAAAACACAAGCTGAAATTTACCAGGGGCTCTGTATAAAGTTATACCCTTAGGCTTTTATTCTCAAAGCCCTCCCAAGTACAGAAGTGTAGCATGGGATGATGTGACATAGAATCGCAGAGTGGGAGGAGCCCACCATACTTCAATTCAGTGTATCCAGAAGGAAAACTAAGGTTCACAGACTTGCTTAGGGGCTTAGTCAAGGGACTATTTGTTCAGAACCAACATTCATACAAAGAGTCTTAAATTTAAAAGGGGATTTATTTCAGAGAAACCTCATGGAAACCAGTTGAAAGAGGGTTAGTGGGGACTTTCGGGAAGTGAAAAGTCGCTGGTTAATTTCTCTGTTTCTATCTCTGTGGGGCCTTGCAGATTCTTTTCTTTGCTTCCGGGAGCCTTCTTCATATCTGCAGTGGATATGAGGTGATATGGTTTGGCTCTGTTCCCCACCCAAATCTCATCTCGAATTGTAATCCTACGATCGCCACGTGTCAAGGGCAGAAACTGGTAGGAGGTGATTGGATCGTGGGGGCAGTGTGCTGTTCTCGTGATAGTGAGTGAGTTCTCACGAGATCTGATGATTTTATAAAGGGCTCTTCCCCTTTCGCCATTCACTCTGTCCTGCTGCCTTGTGAAGAAGGTGTCTGCTTCCTCTTCACCTTCTGCCATGATTGTCAGTTTCCTGAGGCCTTCCCAGCCATGCTGAACTGTGAGTCAATGAAACCTCTTTCCTTTATAAATTACCCAGTCTCGGGTATTTCTTTAGAGCAGTGTGAGAATGGACTAACACGAGGCTTCGCTGGTCTCTCATGACCAACCCAAAAGGCAAGGTCAGCTTCCATGTCTCAATGGCCTTCCAGTGAGGCCCCTCACAGCTAACTGACCAGGGCAGGGGTCTCCTTGGTCCAGCTGAGATCAGGGCCTGGCTCCGGCCCATGCCTGTGGTAAGAGTGGGACTATCCCTTGTGGAGCTGACAAGGGCTGACTCTCTGTAAGGGTGGCTAAGGCACTACTGGCCACTCTGGTGCCCCAGGATGGCACAGGCAGGTCAGAACCTGGCTGTCACTCCAGGCCAGCCTTCTGCCACTGACTGGAAAGGTGGGCTCAAACACAACTGCAGTTAAAAGAGAGGAATTGCCCCGGAGGTGAATGCAGTCACCTGCATAGGGGAAAAGGAGGTGAGAGGCCTGCTCTACTCCCCCTGATCAGATGCCATCCAAGGGCACATGGCTGACATGTTTGAAGAAAAACCCAGAGTCAACTCAGAGCCCAACTCAGGCCTGATAAAAAGTGACTATGATGATGAAGAGATTCAAAATTATGCTGCAGAAGGAATGGCTGGAGGGTCTAGGCGTATTTCACCTGGAAAGAGGAAGCTTTAAAGGAGATGTGAGTCTTTTGTCCAAATGTGTAGACTGACTAAATTCTTTAAAGAGTTTTATGTTTGTGTATATCTGAAGGGTCCAGAACTAGCATCAAAGGGTAGAATTTAGAGGGAGGAAGACTTTGGATTAAAATTAGGGGCCACATACTTTCTGTGAGGGTATCTTGATATTGGCTGCCCTGTCACATTTAAGAAAGGATGGGATGATCATTCGTAAGAGAAGCTGTAGAGCTGATCCACAAACTAAGGGAGTTCTGAAGTCTATTCTAGTTTGGAATTCTATGGCTCTGCTGCAGGTGCATCTGGTTGGCTGGATTGATTGCTATCACAGGGGCAGAGGCCACTGTGTATGATCACTTAGGTCAGTGAAATCAGTAGAGGCCAAGCGGCTGCACCACTGGAGGACAGCAGGTTGCCCTGATCCTGAATCCCTTCAACACTGGGCCTTCTCACATCTGTTTGAGACAAGCCACTTTCAGCTGAGATGCACTAGATCCTTCAAGCCTCTCTACCACCCACAGGGTCACCATCTGCTGGAGCGGCCAGTGGGGCTGCAGGTTACCCATCAAAGCCCAAGCTATGAAATTGTCATTGAGAGGAGTGCTTTAGACATAGAGCTCATTTGGTGGCAGAGATCAGAAGCTTGTTCAAAGCAGCCTGGAATTTTTAAAAGAATAAGGGAAACATGTAAAGGTATGCATTTTTAAGGTTTAAAGTGGTTTTGCAGAAACTCAAGAAAAGCTGAACATCAGGAGTGAGGGGGGACAGAAGTTAAAGCCACAAGAGTTCACCAGTCTTTCTACTAGCGTGCTACTATCCATGTGACTCAGCTCTTATCCTCAGGGCTGCTGCTTATTCCCTCTCCTTGTGTCTCTTCACTCGAAACCCAGGAGAGGACTGTGATTGCTAGCTAGTTGATAGATTGGCTGGTTGGATCTCTTTTTTTTGAGACAGAGTCTCACTCTGTCACCAGGTTGGAGTGCAGTGGCACGATCTCGGCTCACTGCAACCTCTGCCTCCCAGGTTCAAGTGATTCTCCTGTCTCAGCCTCCCAAGTAGCTGGGACTACAGGCGCACGCCACCATGCCCAGCTAACTTTTGTATTTTTAGTAGAAATGGGGTTTCACCATGTGGCCAGGATGGTCTCGATCTCTTGACCTCATGATCTGCCTGCCTCGGCCTCCCAAACTGCTGGGATTACAGGCGTGAGCCACCGCGCCTGGCCAGCTGGTTGGATCTCTTACCCATCCCCAGACTAATAAACCCTAGGCTTCAGGGCCTGATTATCCAGGGCTGTACCTAGAGCAAGTTAAGCTAGAAAGAGAAATTGGGCTTGGCAGAAACGTTGACCAAATCCTTCAATACTGAGGACAACCAAGAGTACTGAGTAACCCAGCAGGATGTGCACCCAACCAGTCCATACTAATTTGGGGTCATTCATACCTTTGCAGTTTTAACTCCTTTTCTCTTCCTCCACTTGCTTTTCTCTTTATATCAACAAAATCTTATTGCTCCTTATTGGTTCAATCATCCCAAAATACATCAGTATAATATATATAATTACTAATATACAGTTGTTAGTGAGTGAATTAATTAGAATGAATAATCAAGGTTTGATGTTCAATGAGTTTGTAATACCTAAACCAGAGTTTAGGTAGGTATTATATACATTATTTACCTAAACTCTGGTATTATATACAGGCTCTTGGGCTAGCAGGCATACTGATGTATTCTGGGATCATTGAACATCAAGCGTTGATTATTCATTCTAATTAATGCACTCATTAGTAATTGTAACAAATAATTATTAAGTGCTGAATTATGAGCATAGCTCTCTTCTAGAAAAACGGAGGAATAATCTGTGGTTTATGTCCTCAGGCAGCTTGCAGTCTATCTGAGAAAACAAGACATACCCTCAAGCAGATAATTGCCATTTACAGTCATTCCTATGATCTCAGCACTATGTGGGTTTAATCAGCCTTCTGCTAAAAGGAACCAGGTCCAAGACATTCAGCATGGCATGGTAGCTAAGCAAGATCCAGTGTCTTCATTCAGCACTGACAGAGTCACTGTCTCTGAGCAGTACTTAGCTACAGAAACTTTGAAGCCTTCTGCAATTTATTATGCTGAGTGCATCTAATCAACATGTAGAATAAAGATGGAGCTCCAGAGAAGTTAGCACGCAATCTGGGTGACAGGTGCTGAGCAAGGACAGCCTCTTCCCAATACTCTCCAAGCGGCCTGCTGTTTCCAGGGAATGATATTATCATTCTTGGCATCTAGAACAGGACTCAATGTAAGATTGTCTAAGGCAGTCACTGGCTACAGTTCATGGAAGCTTCAGGACGGCACTTGGCATGAGCTCTCAGTGCTATGGAAAAAAGAAGCTCTTAGGTGGAATATTTCTAGCTAAAAAATGTATAGTTTTTTTTGTTGTTGTTTCTGTTCCTTTCATTTTTATTTTTAGAAATAGGATTTCAAAGGGCATTTGTCCTGGTCCCTCAGGAAAGAACATTTTCTAAAGTGTTCCCATCAACAATGCCTCAGGTGTTACAGGTCCCTACTCTTGGCCATCCAGCTCTGCCACCGTGCCTGGATTCTGCATTTTCAAAGGGACCAGCTTACCAGCAGCATCCTCTTCCTGCTGCCTCTTGACTCACACAGATCCCATCAATAAGCATTCACTGAGGCCTGCTCTAAGTGAGGCTCTGGGGAGAGTGCTGTGGGAGCTTCAAGAGCAATAGCAGCCCTGAGCTCCAGGAGCTTCCCCTCTGAGGTGGGGAATTGCGATGCATGGAACATCTCCAACACACAAAGCAGACTCTTGCTAGGCTTCGAACTGGAATTGCATTGATCGTATTAACTTGGGGGAGATCTGATATATTTAAAAGAAAAAAATAAGCCGGGCATGGCGGCTCACGTCTGTAATCCCAGCACTTGGGGAGACTGAGGTAGGTGGATCATTTGAGGTCAGGAGTTTGAGACCAGCCTGGCCAACATGGTGAGACCCCGTCTCTACTAAAAATACAAAAATTAGCCGGGCGTGGTGGGTGCCTGTAAGCCCAGCTACGTGGGAGGCTGAGGCAGGAGAATCGCTTGAACTTGAGAGATGGAGGCTGCAGTGAGCTGAGATCATGCCACTGCACTTCAGCCTGGGTGACAGAGTGAGACTCTGTCTCAAAAAAGAAAAAAAAAAAAAAAGAAAAAAATATAGGCGATGGAACAGAAAAGTGGGCAGTGGCTATGAAGATGCAATCCAAATATAAGGTAATACTTATCACCAAAGAAATAGCAATTAAGACAACAGTGAGACAGCATCTTGTGTCTGTCAGATTGGAGGAAAAATACTAAATTGAATAATGTGAATTGTTGTTGAGGATTGTGGAACTAGCCTTCCATGAAACGTTTCTAGAAGTCTAAATGAGTGTAGACACTCCAGAGAGCAATCTGGCGGTATTTAGCAATCCCATACCTGGGCATATAACTTGGACAAACTCTGATTATAACAGACTAGGCCCAAGGATATGTTTATTGCAGTATTATTGGTGGTAGTGATGAGTTGGAGGCAATATAAGTTTCTACCACAAGGAGGGTTGATATGAGCGTTTGATGAATAGTATGCAGTAGTCAGAATAATAAAACAGATGTACACTCAGCATGGAGAAATCTGAATAAGATACTGTTGGCTGATGACAGTAAGACATGGATTGAGATATATAGTAGAGTGTCATTTATATAAATTCAAAACACGTGCACAAGATGATCATGTCTCTAGTAGCTACAAAAGTGCTTGATACAGAGTAGGCCTTCAGTAAATTGTTTTACTTGTTGTCAATAAAAATATATATACTAAATAAATATCTAACATTTATGTAAGTTAAGAATACATAGACATATACATATTTTAAGGGTATATACAAATGCGAAACATAATTTAAGGGTACGGCTCTTCTGGATAGTCCAGCGTTCAAATGGAGTTCTCTGGAGTGAAGTAAAATTAATTCACAAACCTCTGTTGCATCCAAGGTCAAATACTCTCACGAACACCCACTCTCTGTTCCCTGGTTTAATACTCACTGAGTAACATTCTGAAGCCTGAGACTTTTATACATACCCAGTTTCCAGAAAAGGCACAAAGAAGCTTTCCCCAAAAGAAAATACATGAATATTCCATTTATTTAAAAACATCCGAGCAGGTCTAAGCAATATAAATTAATATAGCAGCATCAGTGTCTTGTGAGTTAAGACGAGTGTCCTAAGATTTAGTTGCTTAACTGATTCCTCTATGTCCCTAAATCAAATGATGAAATACAGATTTAGGTTCCATTTTTTTGAAAGAATACTTCATAGGTCATTCTGTCTACTTCCTACTGCACCACATTTAGGAGGGAGGCACATCATGTGTGGTTGTCTCTTTAGTAATTCTGAGATTGGTCAAGGGGTCCAGGTGGTGTCTGACCTTATTCCATCATTACAAAAGAAGTCACCATCTACTTTTTACCTAGTGGTTTCAGTATCTTTGGATAATCACTGCCCGGATTTATCAAGGTTTGCAAAATGATTTTCTAATTCTGTGGTTCCTTCTATACACATTAGCTGGGATTCTTCAAAATGTAACTTACAAAACAAACAAAATCACTATCAAGACTTGACATTCCTTCTTCCATATCAATTTTCAGAATAGTGATAAAAGTTACCAGTAATGATTTCTAGTGGAGACCAATATGTTTTTCTCATCATTATATACTTTTTTTTTTTTTTGAGACAGAGTCTTGCTCTGTCACCAGGCTAGAGTGCAGTGGTGTGATCTCTGCTCACTGCAACTTCCGCATCCTGGGTTCAAGCAATTCTCCTGCCTCAGCCTCCCAAGTAGCTGGGACTACAGGTGCACACCACCACGCCCAGCTGATTTTTGTAGTTTTAGTAGAGACAGGGTTTCACCATATTGGCCAGGATGGTCTCGATCTCTTGACCTCGTGACCTGCCCACCTCAGCCTCCCAAAGTGCTGGGATTACAGGCATGAGCCACTGCGCCCAGCCCATAAATTTTTATATATTTGATGAGGTTGAATTAATTGCCATCATTATTCTCTTTTCTCTCTCTCTTTAGGATCCTTAAACAGCTTATATTCAATAAACTGCATATGTTTAAATGGCACACTTTGTAAAGTTTGGTGATACTGTACAGTCACAAAAGCATAATCAATGTAGCAAACATATCTATTGTAATCTAAAATGTCCTTGTGCCTTTTTTAACCTCCTGCTCCTCCTCCATACTATATCCCCAGGCGACCTCTGATTTACTTTATGTTGGAATTTTTGAGAAATTCATACAAATGGCATTATTTAGTATGTACTCTTTGTGTCTGACTGCTTTTACTCAGCATAATTATTTTGAGATTCAACATGTTGTCTGTATCAATACCTTTAATTGTCAAGTGGTATGCTATTGTATGACTATGTCACAATTGTTTAGCCATCGATGAACATTTGGGTCGTTTCCAGTTTGGGGTTACTACAAATAAAGCTGCTAAGAACATTTTTATATAAATCTTTGTGCAGACATAGATTTTATTTCTATGGGATAAATACCTACTAGTGGAAAGGCTACATCAGATAGTAGGGTATATACTTAACTTTTCAAAAAAAACTGCAAATGTGCTTTCCATAGAAGTGCTATTGCACATTTCTCCTGAGCATGAGAATTTCAATTCTTCCCCATTCTCTCCAATATTTAGTATGGTCAGACCTTATAATTTTATCCATTTTAATAGGAGTATATTATGGTTTGAATGTGTCCCCTCCAAAATTCAGGTGTTGACATTTAATGGCCAATGTGATAGTATCAAGAGATAGGACCTTTAAGAGGTGGTTAGGTCCTGAGGACTCCTCACTCATGAATGGGATTAAGAGATTTCGTGCAGCTTTTGACTCCCTTGCCCTTTCACCTTTCACCATGTGAGGACACAGTGTTCCTCCCCTCCAGAGGACGCCACAACTGGGCGCCATCTGGGAAGCAGAGGGCAGTCCTCAATAGACAAAGGAACCTGCCAGCATCTTGATCTGGGACCTTGCAGCCTCCAGAAACTATGAGAAATACATTTTTGTTCTTTGATAAATTACCCAGTCTTCTGTATTTTGTTATGGCAGCACAAAAAGAACTGTGACACTGTGTACATGTACTTAATCGTGGTTTTACAGCAGTCTCCCTTTCTCTGCTGTTTCACTTTTTTGTTGTTTGTTTGTTTTGAGATGGAGTCTCGTTCTTGTCGCCCAGTCTGGAGTGCAATGGCGTGATCTCGGCTCACCGCAACCTGTCCTCCTGGGTTCAAGCAATTCTTCTGCCTCAGCCTCCGAAGTAGCTAGGCTTACAGACACGTGCCACCACACCCTGCCAATTTTTGTATTTTTAGTAGACAGGCTGTTAGGCAGGCTGGTCTTGAACTCCTAACCTCAGGTGATCCGCCCACCTTGGCCTCCCAAAGTGCTGGGATTACAGGCATGAGCCACCGCACCCAGCATGCTGATTCACTTTCTGCAGTTTCAGTTACCCACAGTCAACCATGGGCCAGAACATAGGTGAGTACAGTACAAAAAGATATTTTGAGAAAGAAAGAAAGACCACATTCACATAACTTTTATTATAGTATATTGTTATAATTATTTTTATTATAATAATATTTTATTATATAATATTTTATTATTAGTTGTTGGTAATCTCTTACTGTGCCTAATTTATAAATTAAACTTTATCATAGGTGTGTATGTATAGGGAAATCACAGTATACATAGGGTTTGGTACTATCTGCTGTTTCAGGCATCCATTGGAGGTCTCAGAGCATATTCCCCCCTAGATAAAGGAGGGCCATTGTAATTTGCATTTCCCTAATAACCAATGTTACTAGACATTTTTTCATGTGCTTATTTCCCATCTGTATGTCTTCTTTGGAAAAGTGTCCCAATCTTTTGTCTATTTTTACATTGTGTGGGTTTTTAAAAATTATTGAGTTTTGAGAGTTCTTTATCCAGTATATGCTTTGCAAATATTTTCTTCCAATCTGAGGCTTACCTTTTTACTTCCTTAACAGTCTCTTATGAAGAGCAGAGAATTTCTAATTTTGATGAAGTTCAGTTTATCAATTTGTTTTTCTTTTATAAATTGTGTTTTTGGTGCTGTATCTAAGAAATCTTTGCCTAAACCAAAGTTACAGAGATTTCTTTTCCTATATTTTCTTCTAGAATATTTGTAGTTTTAGGTTTTACATTTAGGTATATGATCCACTTTAATTTTTTATATAGCATAAAATAGGAATCAAAGCTCCTTTTATTTGCATATGTATATCCAATTGTTCCAACACCATTTGTTGAAAACACTATCCTTTCACTACCAAATTGCCTTGCAAAAAATATTTGCAATTTTTAAAATATATGAAAAATTAACTTAAAGTGGATCAACCTTAGTTGACAGTCAGTAGTCTAAGTATGTGTGTATCTATTTCAGGGCTGTTAATCTATCTTTATGTCACAAATACACTGTGTTGATTATTGTAGCTTTATAGTAAGTCTTGAAATTAGGTAGCATTAGTCTTACCATTTTGTTCTTCTCACTCAAAGTTGTTTTGGCTATTCTAGGTTCTTTGCATTTCCATATAGAGCCTAGAATCAACTTGTCAATTTCCACAAAAGAACCCCCTCAGGTTTTGGTTGGAAGGATATTGAATCTATAGATCAATCTGAGGAAAAACGACATCACAATATTGAATTTTCTGACCCATGAGCATAGTACATCTCTCCATTATTCAGGTCTTTAAAAAATTCTCTCACAATGTTTTATAGTTTTCAGTGTTTACAGCTTGCACATCTTTTGTCAGACAAGGACTTCATATTGTTGATGCAATTTAAATTGTTTGAAATTTAAATTTCTGTTTGTTGATAGTTTATGGAAGTACAATTGATTATTGTATATTGATCTTATATCATTACAGTAGCCTTTTTGTAGAATCCATCCTATTTTCCACATGGATAATCATGTCATGAAGAATAAAGACAGTTTTACTTCTTTCCTTAAAATCTGGATTCCTTTTATTTCTTTTTCTCCCCTGGTTGCACTGGCAAGGATTTCTAGCAAAATGTTTAATAGAAGTGGTAAGAGCCAACATTCCTGACTTGTTTCTGTTAAGTATGATGTTAGTTGTAGATTTTTCTTAGATGATTTGTGTCGGATTGGGAACATTTTCCTCTATTTATAGTTTGTTGAGATGTTGGAATAATCAGGAATAGATGTTTGATTTTACCGTATTTTTTCCTGTTTATATCAAGATGATAATATGGTTTTCATTTTTAATTAATATGACAAATGACATTAATTTTCCAACATGAAACCAACCCTCCTTTCCTGGAATAAACTCCATATGAAACTCATATATTATCTTTTTTACATATTGTTAGATTTGATTTGCTAAAATTTGGTTAGAAATTTTGCACCTTTGCTCCTGAGGGATATTAATATGTAGATTTTTTTTTCATCTTTTCCTGGTTTTGGTATCAGTAATGCTTGTCTCATAAGAAGTTGAAAAACAAGACGACTGGGCACATTGGCTCACACTTGTAATTCCAGCACTTTGGGAGGTCGACGCAGGCAGATCGCTTGAGGTCAGGAATTTGAGACCAGCCTGGCCAACATAGTGAAACCCTGTCTCTAATAAAAATACAAAAATTAGCCAGGTGTGGTGGCACATGCCTGTAATCCCAGCTACTGGGGAGTCTGAGGCAGGAGAATCATGTAAACCTGGGAGGCAGAGGTTGCAGTGAGCCGAGATCATGCCGCTGGACTCCAGCCTGGATGACAGAGTGACACTGTCTCAAAAAAAAAAAAAGAAAAGATAAGAAGTTGAAAAACATTTCTTCCTCTTCAATTTTCTAAGAGTTTTGTAAAATTGATATTTCTTCCTTAAATGTTTAATTGTGTATGTCTGCTGGTGATTAATTCTTTCAGCTTTCATATGTTTGAAAGTAGTTTTTATTTTTACCTTATTTTTGAAAGATATTTTACTAGGTATACAATACTAGGTTTACAGAGTTTTTCTTTCACTTAGTGCTCAGTGCTTTTTTTAGGTGTTGCACCATTGTCTTTTCACTTGCATTGTTTCCTATGAGAAGTCTGCTATCACCCTTACATGTGTTCCTCTGTAGATAAATGTACTGCTTTGAAAATTTTCTCTTATCACTGGCTTTGAGTATTTTTATTATGATGTATCTTGGTGTAGTTTTCTTCATAATTTTTGTGCTTGAGATTCATTGAACTTTCTGGATTGTAGTTTTACAGTTTTCATCAAATCGGGGGGAATATTTTGACCATTATTCATCAGATATTTTTCTATTTCCCCCCTTCTTTAGGATCCCCTATTATATTAAAAACTTGAAGTTGTGCCACAGCTCACTGATGCTTTTTTCATGTTTTAAACTTATTTTTTCTATATTTTTTATTTTGAATGTTTTTTATTGCTTATGTCCTCCAGTTCATTAATCTTTTTAAAAAATGTCAAATCTACTGTTAATCCCCTCATCCCATTCAGTGTGTTTTTCATCTCACACATTGTAGTTTTCATCTCTAGAAGTCTAATTTTAAAAATTTATGTTCCATGTCTTTCTTAACTTTTTGAACATATTGAATACAGTTATGGTAATTGCTTCAAGGTCCTTGTTTGCTTATTCTAGGATCTGTGTCAGTCCTGGATTGGTCATTAAGTGTCATTTCTTACTAAGAAGACCAGGCTTCCTTGGAAAAATGAATAATTACAGATTTGGGACAAGAAATGTCCAAGAAGATCCTGGGGCATCTTTCAGTGTCAGAAAAAAGGAAGTCATCAAAGACCTCTTGCTCCTGAGTTTTCATTTTTGCCAGGCCTTTTCTCTTAAGAGATAAAACTCTCTCTTAAGAGAGAGTTCATGCTAATATTTCCAATTCAAGTTTAACATTATAAGGCCTCTGTTTGAATTCTTTGATTTTATACTCATACCTCTTTTCCTGTGCTGTTTAAATAGATATGCATATAAGAATATGTGAAGTGAAATGGCATGATGTCTAGGATTCAATGTAAAAACTTCAGCAAAGATAAAAATACAAACAATAAAGATAAAATGTTGCAAGATTTTGGTAATGAATCTAGGTGACAGGTATTTGGAGGTGTCATATAGTATTCTATGTGAGTGCTTGAAATTTTTTAATTTAATTTTTTAAAAAGAGAGATAGAGATTGAGAGAGGCAGATCCTCTTGCCTAATAAGATTGGCAACTTCATACTTTCTCACTCCCCTTTCCCCACCCAGGCTGTTGCAACATTGGCTTGTGCTTACATTTTGGTGTTCAGATCCATCTTCATTTTTTTCCCTAGGGATATTTCTTACTTTCTTGGAATTCAAATAATGAATTTAAAAGAATATTACAGGTTTTTAACATTTCTAGATGTTTTGTAGTAGGAAAGATTTTAGGTAATCTAATCCACGCTATTTCGGGAAATGGAGGTTTTTAGCTGTACTTTTAAAATAGATTTAATTGTTTCTTAATATACAAGATGCAATCTATAAAGTGGCCATCTCATCTTACAAATACATATTATTGGTGCCCAAAAAGTATAAATGAATGAAAGTAATCCTTATCCTCACTCTTAGAAACAATATAATTCAAAGTGTGTTTCCTACCTTCCAGGTATTGTTATAATAATTTATGTATATAGAGGCTAACATAGTAATGTTTTCAATGGGTGGGAGCATTACAAAGCTTTTTGTTTGAATTTTGCCTACAGAGCAGTGGGTGTACAGCACTTAGCCAAGTAATGAAAAACATCATTTTAAACTGCACAGAGGCCAACAGGTTACAAAGCATTATCTCATTTAATCTTCACAGTGACCTTACAGCACAGCAGGTATTGTCATTCTACATTCACAGATGGAGAGACTGAAGCCCAGGAGGTGAAGCAATACAGCATGACTCACACTAAATGCCAGTGCCAGGACTTGAGCCTCAAGGTTACGCCACCCCACAGCATTTGTCCTCCAAAAGGCCAGGCTATCTTCTCACAATGGCTGTCAGTGTGTTCATTTTCAAAACCTAAACTAGCTAAGTCTTAACAGATGAAAACAAAAAAAAAAATTAACTGAGAAGAAAGGCACCCACAGCTTCAAAATCCAAAGAAGAAAGTAGACCCTTTTGTTTTAGATCAAGGGAAACCAAAAAACAAAAGCGGTGAGACAGAATAATCCCTGAAGGAAAACAGTGACCTTCTCCAGGTTTAGGAAGATGGTCAAACCCGCATGCCCCTCCATGCTTCTAGGAAAACGTACTACACATATTCTTCAGGCAGATGCGAACGCTCCGAAGGGGCGCCCCTCTGCAGCTGGCTGACCAGCCCTCCTCTGCTCTGTCGTTTTCATCCAAACATTTAGATCTGTGGCCGGGTAGATATTAGTGGCTGGGTCAAAAAGACAGTTCTGGTGTGAAATATTTATACTTAATTGGCCTCTGTGTCTGTCTGTGTAGTTTTGCCAAGCATTTTAATAGTTTTCCTTGAGTATTCTTTATTCTTTTTTGGAAAGAATGCTATTCAGGGTAAGAATGGGGGGGGGAGTAGGGGACACAGCACAAAAGGTTGTCTCCTCTGAAGGCTTTGGGCACTCTTCCCAAAACAGATGCAGAAGGCAACACTGGCCTCTGCCTTGAAAATAATGTGGGATATTTATCTTGAAGTTCACCATTGTTATTCTTTGCTTCTTAGCCTTTCTGATTTGAATTCCAGTTTAGTCTTGATTTTGTAGAATAATCAAAGTAATGAATTGGAGGAAAATTATAATTTCTAGTATACAATAGGATGAGATAGAGTGTAACTTTTCATTTGCAATTTAATTTTTATTGTATCTTATTTATTTACTTATTTATTTGTAGAGACGGTCTTGCTCTGTTGCCCAGGCTGGGGTGCAAGTGGCACAATCATAGCTCACTGCACCCTTGACCTCCTGGGCTCAATCAATCCCCCTGCCTCAACCTCCTGAGTAGCCAGGACTGGAGGCTCATACTACCATGCCCAGCAAAGACAGGGTCTTGCTCTGTTGCCCAAGGTGGTCTCAAACTCCTGGCCTCAAACAGTCCTCCTACCTTGGCCTCTCAGAGTGTTGGGATTACAGGCGTGAACCACTGCACTTGGTCTGCAATTTAACTTTTAAATAAGGCATTTATTTGAATAATTCTTATCCAGTATTTTAAAAATATATTTTTATCATTAAATGGTAGTATATACATTTGTCATTAAAAAGTACAAAGTATTAAAAAATATAAAGGGAACAAAAATCACCCACAATTCTACCATGCTGAAAAAAAGATTATTAAGTGTATCCTTTTCCAATGTTTTCTATACATTTTAATTTCTCTTAAAAATTTGAATTTTATTATATATATATATAATATTTCTTCACCTTGTTATTGTGAAAATTATATAGCAAGTGTTTCTCTGTTATTGCCATTCTTGTAAACATAGTTTTTAACAATCTTCATGTTATTCCAAACTATAGATGGTCACAATTTATTGGGAGAGTCCGTTATTTAATTTTTTTCCTTTTGGTGTATTAACAAAACCGTCATGTGCATTCTGTAGTTATATCTTTGTCTGAATCTTTGATTATGTCTCTACCACACTTTCCTAGAAGAGAAATTAAAAAAACAAAGGATCAGCACAATTTTAAGGTTCTCATTAAATATTTTAATTTTTTTTTCCAAAAACAAACTCCCAAGTTACACTGCCACAAGTTGTGGATGGGAGGGCTGGATTTCCTGAACCCTTCCCAGCATTGCTCGAGTTTCTTGGTTCCTCCGCTAGAGAAGAGGAGCCCCAGAGCTCTGTAGGCTCCAGGTAAGGTTGACCCTCCCCGTCGTCCACCCCTCTCCCACAGGGTTGATGCAGGGCAGTGCTCCGTGTGTTTCCCCATGTGTTTCTTCCACACATCCATGAGCAGGAGCAAGGAGGAATGGCAGAGATCTGAGTGCTTCTGGAAAGGCCCTCATAACTCCCCCTTCCCAGCACCCCAAACCTCTGGCCAACAATCCATCACTGCAATCTGCCTTATTGACCCACAGAACCACTCCCATCTCACCCTTCACCACAAACTCCCAGATTATCTCACCTCACCCAGACACATTCCCACACAACACATCCAACCTGGATGCACCGTCTACTCCTCCCCACTTTTGAAGACTTCTAGTCAGTCATCAGCTGAATCCCCTATATCCTCAACCTCCTACTTGGTCACTCCTCTCAACTTCTTGCTCTAATTAGAACTTGGCTCTCCCCTGATGACACCATGTTCCCTGCAGCGTTTTAACATCATAGCTCATTTTTCTCCACATATCTTGAATTACTTGATCTGGAGTGGTGGATGTATGCTTCCTCTTCCCCATCGATGCTTCCAAACCATTCTCCCTCCACCCTCTCTAAATACCCCTAACTTTGAAACTCCTGTTGCAGAACATGGGCTACCCCTCCTGGCTTCAATCATCTACTTCTCCCTGTGACACCTCTCTTCATTTATTAAGGATTTCAGTGTATGGCTCACGTTCCCTGTCTCTAACACAACTCATGTCATAATTCTTGGTGACATCAATACCCACATTGAGTCTTCACTTGTTCCCTCTCTGGACTCCCAGTTCCTTGCCCTCTTCTCCAATGCTGTTGCTCTCCACCCCACCACTGACTCCACCCCACACAGCTACCTACTCGCAGGGTTCCACCTTTGGTGTTATCATTCCCAGTAGTTGCATCTCCTCCATAATCTCAACGTCAAGCCTCCCGTTCTCCAGGCACTACCTCTTCTCTTTTTAACTCACTCCCCAATACTCCAACCATTCTTTGTCTCCAGTAGGATGATCCCCAACAATCCATTGGTTCTACCCTATGCCCCTGCCCCAAACCTTGGAGTCACTCTTGATTCTTCCCTGCTATGCTCTATAAATCTATTTGGCTCTCCTTTGTATATACAGATGAAGTGACCACTTCTTAGCACCTCCACAATTGACACCTCGTCTGTCACCACCTCTCTGCCTGGGTGACTACAGTGGTGGCCCCCTCCCTGCCCTCCAAGTGCCCACGCTTGCCCCTACAGTCTGTTCCCAACACAGCAGCCAGAGAGACCATCTTGCAATGTAAGTTAGATCATGTCTCACCTCTGCTCAAAACCCCTAAGTGGATTCTCATTCAGAGTAAAAGCCAAAATTGTTTCTGTTCATTTGTTTTTAATTAACGGACTTAATTTCTTAGAGCAAAAGACTAAAGTTTTTGCAGTGCGTACAAGGCCCTGTGGGATGATTCCTCCCCGTCCACCCACTCCTCCAACCTCACCTTCTACCTGTCTACACCTTGCTCACTCCCCTGCAGCTTCATCCCATCCTGGATATTACTTGAAGACATCAAACCTGATCCTGCTCGGGGTCTTTGCTTGTTCCTCTAACTGGAAGCTTCAGCCCTCCATCTTTCACTTCCTCAGGTCTCTGCTCAAATGCCATCTTATGAGAGACGCCTTCAAAAACCCTCCATAAAAAGTAGCAACCATCACCGCCAGCCCCGCATCCCTGTCTCCCAACCGCCAGCCCCGCATCCCTATCTCCCAACCGCCAGCCCCACATCCCTATCTCTCTTACTCTGCTTGCCTGTTTCCTCTTTCTTTTTTTTCTGTCTTTCCTTTCTTTCTTTCCTTCTTTCTGTCTTTCCTTTTTCTTCTTTCTTCCTTCCCTCCCTCTTTCACTTTCTTTTTCTCTCTTTTGTCTTTCTCTTTCCTTCCTTCTTTCTTCCTATCTTTCCTTCTTTTTTTCTCCTTCCTTCCCTCTCTTCTTCCTTCCTTTCCTTTTTCCTTTCTTCTCTTTCTCCTTCCGTCCTTCCTTCCTTCCTCTCTCTTTCTTTTTCTTTTCTCTCTCTCTCGCTCACTTCCTATTTCTTTCTTGCTTCTTTCCTTAATAGACTGTTTTTAGAACAGTTTTAGGTTTATGGTAAAACTGAGGGGAAAGTATAGAATTCCCATATGCCCCCCCCACACACACAGCCTCCCCCACTGTCAACATCCCACACTCCAGAGTGGTATATTTGTTACAGTCCATGAACTTACACTCCCCCTTCCAACCCCATAGTAATTATCATCACTTGACACACTAAATATGTGCCCAATAATTTGTTTATTGTCTATTATGTTCCTCTCCAGAATGTAAGCTCCCTGAGGGGTGGGGGCATAGCGGATTTCTTTTTCTATGGAATCCCCAGGCATGCCTGATGTAATAGCCACTCAAAAATATATTTGTTGAGTAAGTGAAGGAAAAATGTGATAGGCGAACCAAAAACTTTGGTATTTTGCTGTTTTAATTTGCATTTCTTTGGTTATTAATCATCTCAAACATCTTTTCATGTGTTTGTTGGCCATTTGTATTTTTTTGCAAATTGTCCATTTGCTTTTACCCATTTTCCCTAGGAATGTTAGTGTTTTCCTTATTAACCGTTAAGTGCTTAACCTGTTAAAAATATTAATTTTCAGTGTCATATTTATTATAAATATTTTGCCAGTTTGTTTTTCTACCTTAATTTTGTTTATGTTCTTTATGTATTTTACTTACAGAAGTTTTAAATGTTTGGCGGCTAAGTATGCCAGTATTTTAATATATGTTTTATTTCCCATTATGTTTATATTTAGAATGCCCTTTCTCAACCCAATGCCAGTTAACTTTTCACTGGCATTTTCTTCTAATTCATCCACTCAATAAATATTAAGCACTGTTGGAACCAGGTTTTATTCCACGGGCTGGGAATAAAACAGTGAGCAAACTGTTTTAAAAACGAGCTTGCTCTCACCGAGCACATACTCTCATATTTTATTACTTAATATTTATGTTTAACACTTACCTTTCGCTAGATGTTTTATAATTATAAAGTATGGCATAAGAACCTAAGTTCATGCTTTTTCCTTTTTTTAAAGTAACCTTTTATTGAAATGTAACATTTATACAGAAAAGTGCCCAAATCATAAGCAGACATCTCATTGGATTTACTGAGCACACCCAGGTATCCACCACCCAAGGGAAGCAACGAAGGTGACCCCACCCAGCATTTACCCTGTGTCCCTATCTTGGACATTGATTCTGCTCCAGAGGTCACAATCTCATGCCGCCAATTGCCATAGATTCGTTTTGCTTGGTCTTAAACTTTATATAAATGGTAAGTTGCAAAAAGTGGAAACTTTCGTTACTGGATTCTTTTGTTGGCCTTATGCTTGTAAGATGCGTCCACAATGTTAAGATACATTTCTTGCAATAATTTGTAGAATTTACATCTTTACAATGTTCAACATTCCCATTCAGAATCATGATATAGATCTTCATTTAATCAAATCTGTGCATGTGTTAGAAAATTCAAAGAGTGTATTTTTATAGTATTGTAACTTGGTAATTTATGGCTTTAGTTGCTATTGAGAGTAAATTTTCCAGCATATTTTTAAACTGGTTCTTGCTGATAAAATACCCGGTGATTAAAATATATGTATATAGTTGTCGTTTTACATATAAAATATTTTAATCAGCTTGTCTTTGATTACTGGTAAAGTGAGCACATTTCCATGTGTTTATTGGCCACATTAATTTTTACCTTTTAATTGCTGCTACTGCTGCTTCTGCTTCTTCTTCTTGTTCTTCCTAGTTATTCTTGTTAATTTTAACAATTCTTTATATTTTAAGGATATCTTTGGAATATGTTGTGAAAGTATTTTCCCAGTTTATCTTTTTTTCTTAACTTGTTGCTATTTTTTGACGTATTTTAAAATATGTGCAGAGGCAAATCAATCATTTGTTTATTTTGTGATACCTTCTTTGCATTTATTTTTAGAACACTTTTTATTAAATGACTTATCTTCCCTTCCTTTTTTTGAGGTAATGTCTCTATTGTATACTATATATATTTGTATCTATTTCTGGACTTTATATTTTATTCCATTGATATGGCTAGGTATAGAATTGTACAATTTAAATTATTATAGCTCTATAAAGCATTTTGATTTTTTTCAACGTGAGTCATTTTTCCTTATTCTGCTTTTCCAAACAATTTTGGTTGTTCTCATTTTTTCTTGCAAATAAAATATATGTATCATTTCACTGAATTCCAAACAAATAAAATCTCTTCAGATTTTGAATTGGAATTGCATTAAATGTGTAAATTATCTCCAAAAAGTTTACATCTTCCCATTATTTGTCCTCCTATCCAGGAAATTATACATCTTTTTATTTGTTCAAATATTCTTTTCTGCCCCTTATTAAATTTTTAACTTTTCTTTGGGTGCACTTTTCTTGTTAGGTTTATTTGTATGAATTTTATATTGTTTTGTTATTTTAAATTTAAATACTCTTTTAAATGTGTTGTTAGTTGGTTATTAGTGGTGTGTAGGAAAAGTATTTCTTATATTGCTATAATAATGATAGTTAAACTTTATAGAGTGAAACAAGGAAAGACAGTGTAACACAGGTGGTTAGGAGAAAGGGTTTTGGAGTCAGATTACCTGGATTCAAATGCCAGTCCTATTACTAGGTGTATGACATTGGGCCTTGGTGTCCTCATTTGTACAATGGGGGTGATACAATTCTTGCTTCATAGGATGCATATAAAGTGATTAGGTTATACTCAAGTTTCTTTGGACAGACTAATCATATAACTTACAAGTAATAATTTTATCCTTTTTGATGTTTTTACTGTTTTTCTGTATGTCTTATAATGGGAATTTCTAGGAAAATGTTTACCAACATTTGTGGTAATTAACATCCTCAACTGTTTCCTGATTTTAACGAGAACATCTTTATTATTTCATTGTTAACTATGATGGTGGGTATTTGTTAATTAATAGGTCTTATTGGGAATGAATGTTGAATTTTACCACATGCCTTTTTAGTATTTATTGCGATAATCATTTTTCCTTTCTCAAACCTTTCTGTGTGATACTTTGTATTATTAGTTTTCTCACATTGATCCATCATTGCATTTTAGTAATCAAATATCCTTGGTATGATATAGTCTTCTTCTAATATATTGCTGGATTTGATTTGCTAAAACATTTTAAAGCTTTTTCTCCATACTTGTAAGCTATATTAGTGTCAGTTGCCTCCTTTGCCCTAGGTTCATCAGACTTGTTAACAAGATTACAAGTTTATAAGTTAATTTGGAATTTATAAGTAGATTTGGAAAGATTTACATATATTGCTGTGTTCTGCAATAATTTGTTTAGAATGGGAATTAACTTTTTGTTGAAGGTTTGAAAAAACTCACCCATAAACAAACTACACACCCATCTGAGCCGCCTGACTTTATTGAATGCAGCCTTTGACAACTTATTTAGTATCTTCTATACTTACTGATTTATCAGGGAATCTACTTATTGAGTTAATTTATGTTTTCCTAGAAAATTCAACTTTATGCTGTCTACAAGAGGCATACTAACTCATAAAAATTAAAAGACTGACCCAGAAAACACAGCAAAAAGAAAAATATCACGAAATGATTGTCAGTCCAATTAAAATTCAAGACTGGAAGAATTCATGGGTCAGAGAAGGTAATATTTTGTTGACAAAGGATATGATCTTCCATCATACATATTAAGCCCTGAATAATGTAGCCAGGTCATATATAAAGGAAAACTTGTTCAAAGTGTAAGGGATTGACAGGGAAAAAAAAGCGATGGGAAACTTTAAAACATTTAACTCATTTCTTGACAGATCAAGTGGCAAAATATAAACGTGGATAAGGAGACTGAATACCTTTCTTATGTCTTCAGCAGGCAGGCTAGGCTGGCCCACTTTAGCCTAAATCCCGGGATCCAGCAAGCATTCATCTCACATAGCTCGGGTTTTACTGAGTTGGTTCCTCTGCCTGCTTCTCTGACTTGTTTACCCGTGGAGTACACGAGAACTACAACCCCCAGCATGCACTGCGGTCAGTGGCTTCCTCCGGGGCTTCCCATCCAGAATCCTTTATTCCCACCAGTCACCACTCTACCCTCTCCCCGAAGCAATTTCCAGCCATCTATCTGGGAACTGTAATCTTTCCACGTCAGGGAAAAAGACGATATAGAAGGTTGGATGGGTAGTATTCAGACTCCCTCGGAAAACAAAGCACACTCATACAGGACCAGAAACCCCGTTTACTGACTGGGACCGCCTGTGGGTCTCAGAGTCAGAGAGCCAAGAGGGAGTAGGAGGCAAAACCAATGTCTTCCTACCTTTTCAGGAGGTCACCTGGCTCAGTGAGTTTCAGCAGATGAGAGAGAGTATGCTCTTCTCCCTTTCTCTCTTTTTAAAAATCCAACTCCACCTCCTTTATTTTGAATGGAAATCCCTCCTGATTGTGCTGTGTGCCCAGAGGAAGACAGCGACTGAACCCTACAAGATAAGTTTTCCCTCTAGTGAAGCTAATGAGGGCTTGCAAAGAGCAGTAGAAAGACATGAAGGTTTTAAATGCCTTCCTTCTTGGTTCCATCAAACAGGCTTATCCATGCCCTTCCAGTGCAATCAGCCACTGCTGCAGCTGCCACAGCTGCTGCTACTGGTCAGATCTAGCAGCCTGCTAAAGCGGATTATGCTGAGAAACACACACGCACACGCACACATTCACACATACATGCATGCACGCAGGCACACACACACATGCACACACACAACAACTATATTTCCTTCCACGATAGGGAGTTGAAGGTTGAGTTAGAAGGGAGAGAACAAAAAGGGAGAGAACATGTAAGGACAATAATATATGTGGGGTAGACTCATCTTTACAGCCTTGAAGTTGTCCAAACTGCAGACAAAAGGGGGAACACTTTCAATCCAATTGGAAACCTTTCTCTGGTGCTCTTGTTTATAGCAAGTAGGTGTGTTATATAAGGGCCTGGCTCAACACCAGCCTCCTTTAGGAGTCGGCTTTCTGGGATCCTTTAATTAAAAGTACCGAGACACAATATGAAGATGAAAGACTCAGCAGATATGTGGACTGCACCCAGCACTGCTGGTGGTCTCCCAAAACTAGTGAAGGCACAGGGTGGGGTCCTGTCCCTGCTTGCATGGGAGTCTGGCTCAAACACCTGCTTGGGAATTGGGGGATAGTGTCAGGTAAGTTGGAAATCCTGGAGACTGAGCCCCACCTGCCCTCGAAATGGGTCTGTATGTGGTTGCCTGTGAACATGCCTGGATACCTAGGCACCCCACACCTCCGGAAACTCCCTGGGCTCAGTCCATGCTGTGCACCTGCCAATGTGAACGTGCCCTTTGCTGTGCCCACTGTTGACAGCCTCTGGACAGATGGGCTTTTCCAGGTTCTTCCACTGCTTCCAGAGCTTCCTGTTTATGTGTTTTTGTTTCTAAGTCCAAGAGTCTCAGAATTCCATACTCTGAGATCTTGCAACTTGGATCATATTTGTGACCCTGAAACTCAAGGCCCTACCTGAGAGATCTTTTCAAGAGAACTATTTATCTATTCACTTATCACATGCCTATACCCCAAGCACAAATATGACCCTACCTCCTTTTCACAGGCTGCCTGGTAGTACAGAACCCATCACACCTGTATTCATGGACCACCCCACTCCCCACTCTTACGGGTGTTGCTCTTATAAACCATATATCCCCATGGCTGGGAGTCTGTGGATACTAATGAGTCACACTAATAGCAACGATCCAGATTTCACAGGCTCTGATCTCTGCAGCGCTCCCAGTACAGGAGGGCACCCCTCTCCAAGACTTTCTGTGGACCCTGAGGGGTGTCTCACAGGTACTCACAAACAGTCCTTCCTTTGTTCTGCTCAGCTGCCCAGTCCCCACCCAGCTGATGGCTACAGTTGGCCCCTACTCCTCAGTGAGAACATCTAGGTCCTCCCTGATTTGGGGTAATAGACCTCTCTTCCACCCTGTGCAACTCCTCCAAAGCAGAACTGCTCCTGGCCCCTTCTCCCGGAGCCCCTCATAAATCAGCACCTACAGTCTTGCCTGCAGATCCTCTGGCCTGGGGACCATGCTGGGCTACAGACCAGTTTCAAACAGACACCACACTGGCCTCCCCATGTTAGTGTCCCCCTCAGCTACCTGCATCTTCATCCACCTTCAGACAAAACCCCATGCAAAATGATGCTGCCCGAAGCCACACATGAGTTTGCCCATTAAGTTTAGATCCTAGCTCATGTCCAGATTAGGACGGAGGTGACATTCTTACCTTCTGGCTAGTTACAAAATTCTTCGAAAGGGAAAATGCAAAAACAATCAGATCCTAAGTGAAATTGTGGAGTGGAAAGACCCGTGTAGCATCTTCTTGCCTTGTATTTTGGGGAAGCTCCTTCCTTAGGGCAAGCATTCAGGGACTATCACTGTGCTCTCTCTTTAGTTCTGAAGTATATGCATGTCAATGAATCCACAACATTGGTTTGATATTCCACATAAAAATGATCAGCAAGGAGGAGTCCATTCTCTTCTTCCAGTGATCCATAGAGTGAGATCAGAAATTTATCAGCCAGATGACATAGGATACAAGATTCTTTTGGATAATATGTGTAATGAAAATGCAAACAAATTTATGAAAGAGTTCTGTGAGCTACTTCATAGTCTGATTGACTCATACACTTGACAAGGTGAGGGGGCCCTCTCCAGACAAGGTGGGCCACAAAGAGCTTGGCCTCTGGACTCAAGTCTTGGTCCGCCATCTGCCTTACTATCTGGGTAATCTTGGCCAATTCGCTTCGCTTCTCTGAATCTCTGTTTTCTCACCTCAAAACTGAAAATTCTTGCTGAATTATTGTAAGAATTCGAGAAGATTTAATAGGCGCTCAGTAAATGTCAGCTTTTGGAGCCACTATTTAGTCTGGAAATAGTCTTTGGAGGGGACTCATATGAACCATATGCATAGCACCACCTCCATGTCTGTCTTTGAAACATACCCCACTGTCTCTTTCTCTCACACACACGTGCGCACACACACAGTTAAGGCTATGGGTCCCGACTGCCAGGGTTTGAGTCCTGGTCCTACATCCTTCTCCCTGTGTGACCCTGGCCACCTTACTGAACTTGTGGGTGTCCTTTTCCCTCATCTATTAAATGGGGACTTTTATGGGTGGTATGAAGATCAAATAAGTGAATACATTTAAACCACTAGAACAGTGTCTAGTATATAAAAGAGTGTGCATGGGTCAAGTATTATTATTACTATCCATTCTTCATGATTCTTCTGGGAATTAAAAACCAACAAACCTCTAACTATCAGTGAGAATCCTGAATTCTCATCTTTCCCGCTGACCTTCATTCTGTAACCTCGAATGCATCTCTTTCTTCCATTCACACATCTGCTTTCTCTTCCAGAACAGCTGGTACAAGTGGATCTGCTCGGCACCTATAACCTAATTACCTCTCAGGCTCACACAAGTCTCTGGCCGCTAAGCGAATGATCTCCCAAAGGGATTATTCTCAAGCAGCACAGAAACTGTCCCTATGCCTCAGGTGGCCCCAGAACTCTTTCGTACTAGAGACTTATCTGTTAATAAAGTTAACAAAGGAAAGTGGCCTTCCAAGAATGTTTGTTTGGGCCACTACCTGGAAGAAATAACACTTGACCATGAGAGACTTGGCTGAGCAGTGCTGGGTCAGCTTAACCAAAGAAGACCAGCCATCACCCACGGCAAGAGCAGCTCTGACTTGGACCCACTGTTCCCCCAGCCTGTTAGCAGCCTGTGAACAATCTTTAAGTGACCCCTGGCCCTGTCACATCTCCATTCAACAGGGTTCTTGGGGAGGATGTGTGGACCGAGAACAGTGCCCACCCACACCACCTGTAAGTGTGGCCACGGCAGCCAGCCAGCATGGATGCTAAGTAACAAGTGGTATTGGGGCACAGATGTGGCGGGAGCGCTTTGGGGCAAAGAAAGAGGTGCTGTGAGTGAGGACAGAAAGGAAGGGGAAAAAAAAGCCTCATGGGTTAGAGCGCCTCTCACCTTTGGCTCTTCTTCAGAAGACTGGTAAAAGAAAACAAGAAGAGAAATTGGTTTCCCTGACTTCTCTAAAGCAAGCGTTCTTCAGAAAAGAGAATCGATCAGCCTGGTTAAAGTGGATAAACTATGTGATGTCCATCCAGAGAGGTGTCTATTAATGGCTGTAAAATGGAAAGATGAATCAATGGGACCGATTAATATTTATGAAGAGTTGAACTAGGCAGAGTGAAAAAGCCTTGTATATTGGATAAGAAAGGAAAAGCATTGCACACCATAGGATGCGTTTGTTTGGCTAAGGTTTCTGTTTTGATCACTGGGTAATTGTATAGAGCAGGGGCGTATGGTAGAGAAAGAAAATCTATATCTAGAAGTTATTGACTTTATGTACAAAAGCACTGGTTGGTGCCTATTTTTGAGGACCACTCCATCTTAAAAATAACTTTGGTTTTGTACGGCCTAGTTGTGGTGGAAAAGGAGCTCCAAAGAGTAAGCAAGTTTCCTACAAAAAGAATCCAAGCTGTTGAAACTACAATTAAGAAATGCAAAGAGTTACTAATTTTACTACTTAGAGGAAAGGAAATTCACAAGCAGGAAAGAAACTGTGGATCAGGGCAAGTTGTAACTCTAGAGGTTCAGAGATAGGAGCTCTAATTACACCAGGGCAAGGGAGTACTGTTTGGGGAAATTTCTGAAACATGAAATAGGAAAGCTGAGGGTCAAAATGATATTGTGATGTGAATAAATAGAGAAGACATGTTTGCATGGAGCTCAGCTGGGTAATCATGGAAAGAAGGAGGGGCGAAGGAGGAAACTGAAAATCGAAATAAAGAACAGAAGCACAGACCATGAAATATGCCAAATATAGTGTGCAAATACTCAGAAGGCATGGAAAGATAAGTTAGAAGCCAAAACTCAGTTATCACTATCGTGTGAAGGAACAATAAAACTCTTAGCAAAAACAAATGACTTAGCATGAGACCAATACTGCTTTCCTTAGGTAGCTTGGTCCAGAGGGAAAAGGCTGATATCACTCCCTATCAAGGGTTTTTAGACGGTTTAAGTGAGCTCTGCAAGTGGGAGACACGGTGATGATTATTGACAGTTGCTATCTTTCAAGGGGGAGAAGCAAACTGATGTTACACATTAGAATTAGTTAGCACCACCGAACACAGGTTACAAAAATACTGGGAGGAATTCTCTCTCCTGAGCACATTACGCAATATTTGCAAATGTGTGCAGGTAAGTGTTGACTCTCTCATCATGCTGGACCTGGAAATGGTTCTCAGCAAATCATGGCATGATTTCTTTTTCAAAGTTGGGTACACGAATATTATCGTAACCAGCTAAGAGCAGGGAGACGTGGCATGGGAGACTAACAGATAGTGCAGCTTTTAAGAGAAGACGTAGAAATCAATCTAGTAACAAATATTTATTAAGCATTGGAGTGTGCTAGGCACCAAGAGAAAAGAAACCTCCACAGCTGATAAAGCCTTTCAAAATAATGTCCTCAGTTAATTTGCACATTTCCATGAGGTAGGTGTTGTTAGCCATTTCCGTTAATGAGAAAAAAAAAAATGAGATTCAGAAAGGTTAATTAAATTGGAGATCTCCTGATTTTTTAGTTTTATATCCTTCCCGTGTCCTTTCCAGGCTTATATTCTGGTCCTATCACTTCTCAGCTGAGTTACTTCAACAAGTTATTTATTCTCTGTGTTCCCAGCTGTCAAAATGAAAATGCCAGTACCCACCTGGTAAGGAGTGAGAGAACATTTATAAAAATGCTCGGCTGGGTACCTGACACATAGGAGGTCCTCAGTAAATTTGTTTTCTCCCTTTCTTCCTGAAGTACGGTGGCAGAGGGATTCAGCCAGCCAGCCTGGGTAGCACAAGCCATGATGCCCTGCTGAATCTGTGTTCTAGGGTCGGACAGGGGGAGTCCTTTTGCCTAGAGGGATGGTGTGCGAGGCCTAAGAGGACTTGGGCAGAGTCTTGAAGGACGAGCAGGATTTGCTGTGGTGGAGAGGTGGTCACGGGTTGAGCAGATAGGAGAACCAAGGAATCAAGGCAGGGAAAGAGAGGGGATGCATGTGAAGGGCCAGGAGCTGTTAACTAGTTTGCTAAGCAGCAGGCGAGGATTTAGAAGGAGTTGGAGAAGTGTGGAGGGAGCTGAGGCTCTTGTGAGGGGAACTTTTATGCTAAGGGTTCCAACTTGGCCCTGTGAATGAAGGTGAGCTGGGGAAGGTTTGTGAACTTGGAGTCTCACCTGTAAAAGATTAATCTGGTGCCAGTGTACAGAATGGACCGTCAAGGAAGAGGTGGAAAAACAAGGAAAATTTGTATTTTATAGACACACACACACATAGACACAGAGCCCTTTTTATTAGAAAACATATAATCAACTTAACCCCATTTTAAATGGCTTGGACATTAATTTTACTCTTGTAATTGATTATAGAGGTTTAAAACTGTTGTGTTTTTGCCTTTGTGACATATTATGGCTGTATCTAAAATTTATTTGATGTTAAATCAAGAACAAAACTCTTCAATTCTATTGTTGTTCCTAAGGTAAAATATAATCTACTTTGAGTCAATTCACTGTGTCATAAACTTTCCAGGAATGGGAAACTTGATAAAAAGCAGAGACTCACTGCATATGACAATAATTAAATCTATATTCAACAAGTATAAAAGAATGGTTGTAGGGGTGAGCAATTTGGAAGAAAAAAAGCCACTTGACTTAAATATGACAGAAAATCATACTGAGGTCTGACACCCCATGACCTTTTTTGAGATTTGAGGTTATGCCATGTATTTGAGAATAAATAAAATCCATTTAAGTGTCTATATTATTAAATGAATCGTATTTTCAGAAAGCATTAGATAAAGTCTGTTTTAGACCTTGGAATCCATTTTTCTCATGAACACAATATCGTAAATAGATGAGAATTGAGTTCCCAGTCTATAAAACCCTTATTAAATCATCATGTAGCTGAACTATTCTATATTGGCAATCAATAGAGTTGAGTAATCTTTTCATAGTCACAGTGATAAAAAAACAAAAAATATTGAAGAAGTAATTTTTCAAAAAATAGAGGTATAGCACGTTTAATTATGGATTAAGAGGCCGATAAATAATTTTGTGGTGATTCTGAAGAGACTATCTGGGCACTTTCAAAAGCTTTAGAGTTGATAAACTGTTCTTATTATGTCTAATTTAATATTCAAAATTTATGACCATTCATTCATTCATCAAACATAACTTAGATATCTACAATAGGTATTGTGCTAGCCGCTGGAGATTTCAATGTAATGAAACAGTTCCTAACTTAAAGAAAAGCAGCACTTGAAATTTTACTAATGCATTCAGTCATTTACTTAACAGATACTGAATGTT